>NC_000012.12:109126794-109278309 GCF_000001405.40 Homo sapiens | reverse complement strand
ACTTGGTGTCTGGGAGTTCCCGAACCCTAGAGCCAGGATGTTCTGTTTAATCAACAGCTCAGCCAGCTGCCTGGGAGTTTTGGCATTAAGCCCCGCCTTGAAGGGCGAGCTTTAAGTTTTTCCCAGTTCTGGAACTTTCTACCGAGTATCCACCACCCTTAGACACAATCCCAGTGCTACCCGTCTGACCTGCACTGCTCATCTGCTTTGTGTAACATGACCCCTGATAAGATGTTGAAACTGTTATTCACAAAGACTCCGTGTTTGGGCAACATCAAGACTGTAAGTGTAGAATTGAGCAACTGTCTTCTATCAATAAAGGCTGAATGGCAGCTCTGTGGCTCGTGAGAAGGTCAAAGGGAGATAAAGGATAATGACATCACTCACTCACCCCTTACAGGTGAGATCCCATTTATAGATGGGGAAATTGAGGCCCAGAGAGGTGACACCACTCAGAACCAGGCATTCTGACACCAAGTTCCCATCGCACCAGAAGCTGGGGGAAGTTTTTCATGAAGGTTACAATGAGCACCGCCTCCATTTACTGTCCCTGAGACCTGCTGCTTGACAGGCATCATTTCAGGCAGGGATCGTGAACGCCATTTACCACTCAGAGCAGAGGCTTGGAGAGGTAGGGTTGGCTGAGTGTGTGTCCTGGAGCTCAGTGGCACAGCTCAGGTGTGTACCTCATGTCAGAAAAGACAAGATGGAAAGAGACACACCCCTTCCAGCACCTGCTATATGCCAGGCCCTGCACTAGTCACTGCTGTAAATTAGCTCATTTGGTCCTCATAACAGCCCTAGGAAGCATGTCTGATTTGTTACTACACCCATTTCACAGATGAAGAAACTGAGGCTCAGGGGAATAAAGCAGGTGACTTGCTGTCCAAGATATAACAGGCAAAGGATGTGTTAATTAGGAGTCTAACTTTTTTTTATTTTTTGAGATGGAGTCTCGCTCTGTTGCCAGGCTGGAGTGCAGTGGTGCGATCTTGCCTCACTGCAACCTCTGCCTCCCAGGTTCAAGCGATTCTCCTGGCTCAGCCTCCCGAGTAGCTGGGACTACAGGCAACACCACCATGCCCAGCTAATTTTTGTATTTTTAGTAGAGACAGGGTTTCATCCTGTTGGCCAGGATGGTCTCGATCGCTTGACCTCGTGATGCGCCCGCCTCGGCCTCCCAAAGTGCTGGGATTACAGGCAGGAGTCTAACTCTTAGGCCCACCCAGGAAGTGGCCTGCAGCCTCAGGGGAGACCAGATTCGTGCACATGCAACGTTTCATGAGTGAGGAAGTTTGTCTGGGAGGATGGGCTATGGGTGGTGTCAGGAAGTGCTTGGTGGAGGCCAGGCATGGGGTAGGGAGAGGGTGCCTGCGGCAGCCTGGCTTTCTCTGCCCAGCACCTGTAACATCCTCTCTTGGCTTGGCTCCTAAATGACCCTGTGAACCCAGCCTGGCCAAAAAGAGCATTGCATCCCCCAGCCACCCTCTGAAATTGGCTGCAGTGGGGAACAAGTGACCTAGGCCATGGTGTTCACAGCCAATGAGCATACCCCAGGGACTTTGCAGGAGCTAGGGGACAGGGGCACCCTCCATATCCTGGAGTGCTCAGCTGGGAGAATGGAGCCCAGCCACTGGGTCACCACCAGGAAAGGGCTGGGAGCCACAGTTGAGTCTGACTTCTGTTCCTGGCCATGGGCAAGGGGGAGTCAGGTGTGCAGAGTCCAGGCAAAAATGCCAGGGTCACAAGCTCTAGGCAGAGCTCTGCTCACAGCCAGAGTGCCAGCTGGCCATGATGACACCAGAAGAAAGCATACAGGAGACATGGGGGGAATGAGACTCCTTCTGGGGTTGAGCAACTAATGGGAGAAAAAACGCAAATTGCCGTCATGTAAGCACCTGCCGTGTGCTGCACAGAGTTCAACACTAGTCAGGCAGCATCTCCCCGGAACCGCACCACAGCCTGCACAACCAGTGGGATGTTCCCATTTCCCAGATGAGGAAACTGAGGCTCAGAGATCATGTTTCTAAAGCTTTTCTTCCCCTTCTATGAGAAATCACCCACATTCTAGCAACAAAAATAGTAACAGCATTCACTAGCATGTATAGGGAGCTTATTCCCTGCAATGTATACCAGGACACAATCTATCCTTATTTTCCTCCCTGGTCCTAATCCCTGGAACCTGCGAATATGTTATTACCAGGCAAGTGGGAATAAAAGATGCAGATGGAATTATGTTTGCTAATCAGGGGCCTTAAAATAGGTCGAATTGCCGGGTGTGGTGGCTCACACCTGTAATCCCAGCAGTTTGGGAGGCAGAGGGATTGCCTGAGCCCAGGAGTTTGAGGCCAGCCTGGGCAACATACTAAGACTCCATCTTTACAAAAAAAATAAATAAATAAACAAAGGATTAGCCAAGCAGGGTGGTGCACACCTGTAGTCTCAGCTACTCAGGAGGCTGAGGCAGGAGAATCACTTGAGTCCAGGAGATCGAGCCTGCAGCGAGCTGTGATTGCACCACCACACTCTAGGCTGGGTGACAGAGCAAGACACTGTCTCAAAAAAAAAAAAAAATGGTGGAAGATTACCCCAGGTTATCAAGGTAGGCCAATGTAATCATAAGGGTCCTATGGGTAAAGGAGGGAGGCAGGAGAGTCAGTGTCAGATTTAAAGATGCTGTGAGGATGGAATGGAGCCTCTAGACGCTGGAAAAGGCAAGAGAATGGATTCTCTCCCCTAGAGCCTCCAGAAGGACCGCAGCCCCACTGACACCTTGATTTTAGCCCAGGGAGACACATGTTGGACTTCTGACCTCCAGAACTGTAGGATGATAAATTTATATTGTTTTAAGCCACTAAATTTGTGGGGATTCTTACAGCAGCCATAGACAATAAATACATCCCCATTTTACAGAAGAGAAAACTGAGGCTCAGAGAGGCTAGGTAGCTTAGGTATGATTAGTAAAGGCTAGAGATGGGATTCAAATGACACTGTGCTTCCCCACGGTCTTTTATCACATCTCAGAGGCCTCAGCTGACACCATCTGTTTGCTGGTTTACATAGGAACAAAAACTCTCTGAGGTTACGTGACTGGGATTTAACCCCAAGTCTGCAGGTCTCCTCGCCCCTCCATGGCACTGTAATGACCTAGTGTAGGCTCCTAAAGAGTGGTCAGTGGGAAGTTCAGGGAAAGGAATAAGAAGATGGATCAGAAGTAGGAGATGAGGTGCTGGAGCTAAGCATCACCTCCTTTGGAGGATGCTGGTTGTGTTGACTGTTGATCCTGTGGGTATAGATGCTGGACCTCTGATCTCTGGAATCAAAACCCTCAAGAGTCAAAGCAGGACAGAGATCTCACTGGCGGCTGAAATGTGGGCAAATCCAACAGCAGCCAAAGAGCCAGGCCAGGCCATCCCCAAGGGGTGTCCAGTCCACAAGAACCTGTCCAGCTCTTCTACAGTCACTCACAGGTTGCCACGGGACAGAAGCAAACACTCCCAGGAGAGGGACAACCGGGCTCATCTCTAGGACCCACATCCTCTGACCCCAAGGCTGCCCAGGCTTCCTCCTGTGGGGTAAGTGCCCCCCAACAGGTGGAAGCATCTCTGATCTTCTCTAGGGGGGTGCTTCCCACCTTCCATCATTGACTAGCGTCTCTGGTAACCACAGAAATGTGGTCAAACTTGCAGACTACCAACATCTCCTGGGGCCTTTTAAGATCTAGATCTCAGCCTGGGCAACATAGCAAGACCCCATCTTGGCCAGGTGCAGTGGCTCATACCTGTAATCCCAGCACCTTGGGAGGCCAAGGCAGGAGGATAGCTTGAGCCCAGGAGTTGGAGACCACCCTAAGAGACATAGCAAGACCCCATCTCTACAAATAATAAATTAGAAAATTAGGTGGTCATGGTGGTGTGTACCTGTAGTTCCAGCTACTGGGTAGGCTGAGGTGGGAGGATAGCTTGAGCCTGGGAGGTTGAAGCTACGGTGAACTGTGATAGTGCCACTGCACTCCAGCCTGGGCAACATAATGAGACCCCCATCTCAAAGGAAAAGAAAAAGATCTAGCTCTCCAGATCCATCTGGGATTCTGAGGCATGGCCGGGCACGGTGGCTCACACCTGTAATCCCAGCACTTTGGGAGGCCAAGTTGACGGGATCACTTAAGGTCAGGAGTTTGAGACCAGCGTGGCCAACATGATGAAACCCCGTCTCTACTAAAAATACAAAAATTAGCTGTGTGTGGTGGTGCACATCTGTAATCCCAGCTACTCAGGAGGCTGAGGCAGAAGAATCGCTTGAACCCAGTAGGTGGAGGTTGCAGTGAGCTGAGATCATGCCACTGTGCTCCAGCCTGGGTGACAGAGTGAAACTCCATCTCAAAAAAAAAAAAAAAAAAAAGAGAGAGAGAGAGAGAGAGAGACTGAGGCAGGGCCAGAGTCAATCTGAGCTTTTTAAACAAGCACCCCTGCTACGCTTGGGAGCTGGTGAGGGGAAGGGTGAGAAGATTCTAAGACAGAGTGAGGAGCGGATCGCAGGGTGGGCCTGTGAACTGAGATAAGGCAGACCCGAGGGCTAGGGACACGGAACATTCCTCTGACTTGAACTGAGAAAGGCCTTACACTTGTGCGGCCTGCAGGTGACCCTGGCGGCAACTAAAGGGAAGAGGAGGCTCCCAGAAAGGTTCAGGCAGTGGGAGTGAGATGGGGAAAGATGAACAAAGTACCTTGGGTGCCGCCTCACGGAGAATGAGCCTGGCTGGCCAGCTGCTTCCTTCTCCACCGGCCCCCAGGAGTTCTGCCACCGCCTGGGTCTGCGGGCGTCTGGATTTCAGCATCATCGCAGAATGGGGAGCAGGTGGGAGAGAAGAGAGGGAGGCGTGGCTGCAGCGGGGCGGGGCCAGCTGGGTGAGCGAGGGAAGCAAGAGGCAGAGGAATTGGATGTCCGGGTCACAGGTGGGGTCTATATATCCCGTCCGTGACGATCGAGGCATGCAAGTAAAAAGGTGCAATGACTTTTGAGTTCAATTGCTTCTAGACTCCACCCCTTAGATGGCTATTATCAAACAAACACATAAAAACCAAAAACAAAAAGAGGAAAACAAATAGTATGGGCAAGGATGTGGAGAAATTAGGGAAGTTTGTGCATTGTTGGTGGGAATGTAAAATGGCACAGCAGCGTTGGAAAAACAGTATGCTGATTGTGCAAAGAATTAAAAAGAATTACCGCCAGGTCCAGCAATCCCGTTTGCTTTTTTTTTTTTTCTGAGATGTAGTCTCGCTCTGTTGCCCAGGCTGGAGTGAGTGGTACGATCTCAGCTCACTGCAACCTCTGCCTCCCAGGTTCAAGCCATTCTCCTGCCCCAGCCTCCCGAGTAGCTGGGACTACAGGTGCGTACCACCACACCTGGCTAATTTTTGTATTTTTTGTAGAAATGGGGTTTCACCTTGTTAGCCAGGCTGGTCTTGAACTCCTGACCTCAGGTGATCCACCCGCCTCAGCCTCCTAAAGTGCTGGGATTATAGGTGCGAGCCACTGCACCTGACTCTGTACCCCCATTTTCATAGCAGCAGTATTCACAACCACCAAAAGGTGGAAGCCACCAAGTAATTCACTGATGGATGCGTGGATACATAAACTGTGCTCTAGCCACGCAATGGAGTATTATTCAGCCTTAAAAAGGAAGGAAATTCTGACCCATGCTAAACATGGATGAACCCTAAGGACATTATGCTAAGTGGGATAAGCCAGTCACAAAGAGGACAAATACTATATGATTCCACTTACATGAGGTACCTAGAGTAGTCAAATTCATAGACACAGAAAGTAGAATGGTGGTTGCCAGGGGCTGGGAGGGGAGGGGAGTGGGGAGTTAGTGTTTAATGGTACAGAGCTTCACTCTTGCAAGATGAAAAGCATTCTGGAGATGGACTGCACAGCAGTGTGGACGCGCTTAACACTACTGAACTATACGCTTAAAAATGGTTAAGATTTTCTTATGTATATTTTACCACAATAAAAATATACAAAATACAAAATACTAGACCAGGTGTGGTGGCTCACACCTATAATCCCAGCACTTTGGGAGGTGGAGGTAGGTGGATCACTTGAGGTCAGGGGTTCAAGACCAGCCTGGCCAACAGGGCAAAACCCCGTCTCTACTAAAGATACAAAAGTTAGCCAGGCATGGTGGCATGTGCCTGTAATCCCAGCTACTTGGGAGGCTGAGGGTGGAGAATCGCTTGAACCCAGGTGGCAGAGATTGTGGTGTGCTAAGATTGCACCACTGAACTCCAGCCTGGGCGACAGAGCAAGACTCTGTCTCAAAAAAACAAAAACAAAAAAACATGTAGGCTCTTTGCCTGTGTTTCCTACACAGTATTCCATCCAGAGACATACCGCGTTGGTCAGGGTATTACAAAATACAGAACATCCTCAGGAGCATCCTCTCACCTCCCCTCCCAGGAGAGGACCACCTCTCTGTCAGCAGACTGTTCTCCAAAATCCAGCCCTGGTTCAGCAACCGGAAACACCTAGGGATCCCTAGCTGTGTGTTTTAGTTAGAAATCTGTTTCACATATGTTGCACAAAAGAGAGAGAACAGGGGCTGTCAGAGCACAGAGGAGGGCTCCCAACCCATGGGAGAGGTGGTCAAAGAAGGCTGCCTGGGGGAAGTGCCATTTGAGTTGGGTTTTGAGGGATGAGTAGGAGTCAGCCAGACAAAGGCCAAGGGGGAAGAGGTTCCCCAGGAGAAACAGCCAGTGCTCACCTGGAGGTGAACTGACAGTTTAGACTGGTTGGTTCACGGTAGTAACAAGATGCTCTCGCATAGCTGAAGTTGGGCCCCAGGACTCATGCCATGTCTTATGGGATTGAGTGATACTTTTGTCCCAAGGGCACTTAGTACAAGGAAGTGGCATTTTCGGCAGATCTGTCTGGACGTCAAGCAGCGTGGCTCGGTGCATCGGCTGCACGGCCAGTGCCCAGAAGAGGGCTGATTTGTCCACACTGGTTGAGTTAGCAGAAGCCATAGGGAGGCTTTGCTGTGCGTGGTGGTCATTCAGAACCTTTCTGTGGCCTGTGTGGATGGTCCTTGTTCTCTTCTCTATCACGTTCCTGTCACAAGAACTCTGAAAAGTGGACCCTGGACATTTCTGGATTTAACAGTCACTGTTTTGACTAGTCGTGACCCTAAACATCTCCTTATGGTTAGCCACTTGCAATTTCTACCTGTTGGGAACCCCAGGATATCAGTCCCCAAGGGCAGGAGTGGCTTGCCTTGCTCATGGCAGCACCCTCTCACAGTGCTCAGCCTGTGGCATATGCTCATAAAATAATGGAAAAAAAGCGTTTTTCTGGTGCTGTGTGCACTGTGAGAACTGGAGCTCCCTCTCTGGCCACGCGGCTGGCTGCTTCGTCTCAACACAGCTCTGTTGATCTGGATGTGCTCTCAGCTGCAAAAAAGCTCAGGAAGTGATTTACAAAACAAACAACTGGTTTTGAAATGCAAAAATAACTCTGGAGAAATGTATTAATGTCTGCAATTTACTCTGAAATGTGACAAAATAATAACATGCATTCACAGAGAGATGGACAGATGGAGAGAATGGTGTTAAAGAAGGTACAAGCACAGTCAGATGTCAATGGTGGCATCAAGATGGTGGGTTGGGGTGAGTGCTATGAAATATTTTGACTTTTTGGCATTTGGAAATTTTCATAGTAAAACGTTAGGGGAAAAGAATGACCCTGAGAAAAAAGGCCAACTGACTTTTGGAGCAGAGGAAGGCAAAATAACAAGATAATAAATAAAATAATCAATTGGGGAGGCCAAAGAAAGGAGTAGAAATGGGGATAACCCAGTCCACATTTACATTTGTGATGTGGAGGAGCCCACTGTGCATGCAGAAATGTGAGGTTCCTCTGAGTGGTTTAGGGGCTACAGAATCTGCCAATCAAGGGCTGAAAAATCTGCCAATCGGGAAAGAGGGCAGCCCACCCTAGTGTGGGCTCTTGGCATGGAGAGCATGAGGCTTTTGATGAGGATCTGAATGATGCCATTGGCTGAATTAGCCAGGAAGTCAGGGAGGCAGGAGGAGTGGAGCTTGGTCTACAGGATGCTCTCATGTTTTGGGATCTAACCCTTGCAAAGGTTCAGGATTTACGGAAAGGCATTAAGCCCAGGGGGATTGGGTCTGAGCCAGCCTGGGTTCCTAGCCTGGCCCCTCCTTTTACCTGCTATGTGCACTTGGAGAAGTCTGCTCATCTCTGAGCCTGGGTTTTCTCTTCTATAAAAATGAGGATAGAAGCTGGGTATAGCAGCTCACACCTCTAATTCTAGCACTCCAGGATGCTGAAGTGGGAGGATCGCTTGAGGCCAGGAGTTTGAGACCAGCCTGGACAACATAGATAGACCCTGTCTCTACAAAAACCAAAAAAGCTAGCTGGGCATGGTGGTGCATGCCTGTAGTCCCAGCTACTCGGGAGGCTGAGGTGGGAGGATTATTTGTGCCTGGGAGGTTGAGGCTGCAGTGAGCTGAAATCACATCACTGGACTCCAGCCTGGGCAACAGAGCGAGACCCTGTCTCATAAAAAAAAAAAATGAGGATAGAGTGTATGTAGCAGCCACCTCCAAGGGTCACATGAGGATTGTGTGGAAAGAGGCCAGAACCTGGCACGTGACCAGTGGCCATCGTAGGGAGTGTTCAGTTAGCACCCAACCTGCCCAACAAGACCTCTGTCCACACTCAGTTGTCTGATCCTTTCTCCCTTCCCCTTGTGACTGGCTACACTAAGTCCTTCAAGGGAGAAAAGTTAGCCTTGTCAGAGAAAGCACTTTCAGCTGATGTCCACAGAGTAAACTCCAGCATCCTTAGCAGCAGATAGCAACTTGTGTCCGGGTTTCAAATCCGGATGAAAACAAACAATTGACCTGTAGTCTTCAGGATGCAAAACCAAATCAGAGCTTCCTCCTCCCCATCCCAGAGGGCTGCATTTCAGCTTGTTCTCAGGTCCTCGCCTCCCTGCCTGGAGGGTCTGCTGATACAGACCACCATTAGGTGCTGCTGTGGGTGGAAATTAACTGCTGTCTTCTGGGCTAACTGGGCCATCTCCAGGGCTAAGGATAGAGCTCCAACTCAAACTAGTGCAAACATTAAAACAAACAAACAAAAACCATGGATAGGTTCCTGGGACTGGGCTACTGACTTCAGGCATGGCTTGATCCAGGCATCCAAGTACCACCAACAGGACTGGATCTCCCCCTCTATCTCTGGGCTTGGCTTCCCCCTGCATTGGTAGGTTCTCTCCACATCAGCACTGTCAGCCATCCCTAAAGAATTCTGATCGGCTCTACTGGGGATACACGCCCATACCTGCGTCAGTCACTGTCAGGGGGAATGGAGAACTCTGATTGGCCCATCCCTGGTGAGGGGGAATTGCCTGGAAAAGGTGTCAGGCAGAATCAAGGTAACAGTTGTTGTTACGTGTTTTGGAGACAAAATTGAATAGTCACTGTGTGCTGAGAAGCCACGGTGGGGGGCGGGTAGGGGGTTCTTCTGCAGTTTGGGTCCATGTAAAACCAACTCCTAAGTGTGGCTTAAGCCTGCCCACCAAGGACCTAGGTCATAAAAGGAAAGGGCTGGGTTCTGGAGCCAAGCAGACTTGATTCCGTCTCTGCATAACCATGGACAAATGCCTTCACCTCTCTGTGCCTCAGCTTCCTCATCTGCACAACAGGGGTGGATCAAGGTGGTGGAAAGGAATGGAACTCGCACGTGAAGTGCCTGGGCCAACCCCCAACCCCTTCTTCCAGAGAAGCTCCCTTTTTGCCTGTGGTATAGACTAGGCTTGCATATAATTTTCTAAAACATTTTTCCCCAGTGCTTTCAAAAAGGGATGACTTTGTCCATTTCAGTCTAGCCTTCAGCTTCCTTCACTGCATCCCCGTCTGCCCCTGTGATGGGAACTCACTCAAGGTCTCAGCTGTGGTGTCAGGAATGGAGGGTGCAAAGGTGAACGCCTACCTTTGCTCCTGGAGGCAACCTGCCTTCTCCAATCCAGATAATAAAGTCAAGGCCAAAGTGTTTCCTTCAAAAAATAGTTTATTCTGCACATTTCCTAGTAGGCTCTCTGCCCACCGTTCCAGGGTAGCAGCTACTCATAACTTGTCTTTCTCTCCAAAACCAAGAGGGCCTTCCCAACAGAAAAACCTTCAGTTCCCAAAGCAGCATCGATTCTTCCCCTCACCCCAGCAAACCTCGGGGTGGAATAATGAATCATTCACCTTCTCCCACCCCTCACTGCCCCGCCCCACCTTCATTTGCCAGGACTGTCACTGGCTGATGGTCAGATTTTGTCTTTTTCAACTTGGATACCCTCAAGCATCCCAGCTTTTGGAGGCTTCCCTGGGCAACCTCATGGGCTTCCACATTGACCAGGCATTACATTCAGCATCCTTGGACAAACCACCCATCAGAGCAGTGGGTTGTGGCCAGCTCCCTCCATCCCCGACTCCGCCCCAATGGAAGAAACCAGAGGATCACAGGGCCCCAGGCTGTGCCGCCTGCAGAGCCAGGAGCTGCTGGGTGCATTGCAACGTTCTCCCTGAGCAAATCGGCATGGTCACCACAGTCCAGTCCTCAGTCACCGACAGCTCTGCCCCTCGGGGTCAGATCCCACCATCGGTGCTCATCAAGCCAGCAGGCGAGGAAGCAACAGTAACTCAAGTGGCCCTCCAAGGGAGCAGTGGTGACCGTCACAGAGGTGACACTCGTGAGCAAGCTGGGCCGTGGGTGTGGTAAGGGATTCCTCTCCGCCTCTGTGCTCCCCACTTGGGCAAGAGGAGGGTGCATGCGCAGGCTGGGGGCCAATCCTGCAGGGGGAAGGGGCAGTCCTCATTTTCCTTGGAGAGAAGAGGTGGGCAGAGGACCTCGAGCTATGCGAGAGCATCCTCCAGAAGCCCTGAAACCTCCAGCTGGGTACTTCCATTCATTTTGCTTTCCCTCTCTCAAAAAGAGAATCCCTGGCAACCAGTGCTAAACATGGCCTATCAGTGGGACCCTCCTAGTGATTCACTAGCGCCATTTGGGGAACAAAATAGCATTTCACTCTCTCAATAAAAAAATCATCTGGCTGAAGATGGTGGCTCATGCCTGTAATCCCAGCACTTTGGGAGGCCAAGGTGGGTGGATTACCTGAAGTCAAGAGTTTGAGACCAGCCTGACCAACCTGGTGAAACTCTGTCTCTACCAAAAATACAAAAATTAGCCGGGCATGGTGGTGGGCACCTGTAATCCCAGTTATCTAGGAGGCTGAGACAGGAGATGGAGGTTGCAGTGAGATCATGCCACTGCACTCCAGCCTGCATGACACAGTGAGACTTTGTCTCAAAAAAAAAAAAAAAAATTCATCCATACATTTTTCTGGGTGACTAGACAGTATCCAAAGAAACATCATTACAAAAATAGGTTTTCTCTAGTCCTGTCTATATATATATATTTTTTTCCCTTGGCCCATTTATTTGGCTGAAATATATGAGATGCTTACTTACATCTGGTGCTGGTCTCAGAGTAAAAAAATAAAAGATTTCACGATGTGGTATCCAAGGATCCTAAAGAACGCCTGGATCCCACATGCCAGGCACTGTTTTGCAAAAGGAAACAGGGATGTTTTAGCTTGATTAGATTTAGTGATGCAATAAAACTGCTGTCTTCAGAGACAAAACAAAATAAACTTCCCAGCTATGGAGAGGAGGCTGTTTTTGTTTGGAAGAGGCACTCCTGGGCCTTTTGTTAAGACGGGTGTCAGCTCGGAACCAGCAGCCCTGCAGAAGTGCCCAGGATTTTCTTTGTTTAAAAGCAAGTCTTCAGGGTCTGCTGAGGGTGTACGGGTGGTGGGTCTGGGTGGTTCCTTTTGCCGTGGTCCCGGGAGTGGCTGGGCGGGCCACGGTCAGGTGGAGGCCGGGCTGTCCATGGTAGACAGCAGGTGAACGACCTGCGCCCGCTCAGCTGGGCTGATGTGCTGGCTCAGGTATATCACACAGTCCACGGCCACCTCGGGGTTTTCTTCAACCAGGCTGTGGGGGAGGTGAGAGGAGGGCTGGGATCACTCCAGCCACTTTTTCAGTGGCCCCAAGGGTGGCAGAGTCCTTGTGTGGGGCCACACCCCAGAACCCAGAGCTCCCGAGTCCCTGCTGTGGTCCCCATGGGGGTGATGGTCCTGTGCAGCAGGAGGGGCTGTGACCTGAAGTTCAGAATGCCTTGAGGCACCACCGTCCCTACTGGTCACTGCTTTGTGACATGACCTGAGACAAGACACTGCCTTGAGTCTCAGCTTCATCCCCAAAATGGGGTCCCCTGTGCTCGACTCCCTCCTTCACGGGGTGACCCCATGGCAATTGGGGGAGGGGACCCTCTGGAAAGGTCAACACTGGCGTGGAAGACAGCAGCCTGAAGGCTAGCGGTTCCAAATGTGGGTTCTGTGACCAACCCTGCTCCAGCTGTGACTTTGGACAAGTCCATATTCCAGCAAGGTTCATGAGTTGGAAGCATCTCACACGGCCTTCAGAGTACCTCTAGGCTCTCTGTCCCACCCCAGCCACTGTGCTGGGAGACCCGACATTAGGGAGTGTGGTCTCTTTGCTGGGGAGCGGGGAGGGGGCGGGGACAACCCCAGACTGCACAGGGTGGCGGGTTCAAGTGGCTGCATAGGAGTCGGGTAGCTAGGGGTCAATCCAGGCTCGGGTCCTTGCCAGGAGGCTGGGAAGCAGGTGCGGTGGCCACTCACCCTCGGATGGTCTTGAGGACAGAGTCGTGCTTCAGGTACGTGATGTTCTCACGGATGGTGGAGCGCGGGCCATCCCCTGCCTGCCAGTGCTGTTCCAGCCACTGCACAACCACCTGGTTGTTGTCCCACAAGTAGGCCTGGGGAGGGGGCAGAGGATGCCTCAGAGAGGGACCCAGCTGTGGGCCAGCTGTCTCAGCCCCCAGCACCCCCTGTGCTCACCGGCCTCGTTCTCACCCCAGGCCCACCTTGACAGCCCCCTCCGTCTCCACGAACCAGCGACGCAGCATGGACTGGATATGCACGTGACTCAGCTCCCCGCTGGCCTGCAGGATCTCCTGCTTGACCTGGTCCTCCAGGAGGAGGCGGCGCAGACGCCAATACAGGAAGGTGCGTGCGGTCTTCCACTCCAGGATGTCCTGTGGACGAGCCAGGCTTGAATCCCCGGAAAGGGAAGGAGGAGACGGGACACTGGCTCTGACCACACCCATGACAGTGGCTGCCCGGGGCTGGGCCCAGGCTCTGAGATCATTCCCAGATCATCCCAGGCAAGTAAGCTGAGGCTCAGGGAGGAGAAGGCACCTGCTCAGAGGCAGGACGTCACCAGGACTCCAGACTGGCCATAGTTGAAAAAATGTCCCCCATAAAAACCTGGCACCCACTTCTACCTCAACCGACACAAACACAGGCTCGTGTGAGGCATGAGTCAGCTGGGAGGGAGAACAATGCAGCAAGAGAACCAATGAGCACTGGACATGGGTAGGAGGTGACTGTGGGAGTCCTTGCAATGGTGAGGGGTGGGTGAATGCTGGACAGGAACAACGGTTTCTACCCCTGGTCCAGGTCCAAACTGACCGAGCCATCAGACTAGTGGTCCCTGAACTTTGCTGCTTATTAGAATCTCTTGGGGATCTTTAAAAAATACGACCGCCTGGCTTCCATCCAGGTGTTTGGATTTCACTGGTCTGCAGTGCCACCTGGGGATCGGGATTATTTTAAAGTTCCCAGGTGACTCCCACCTCCTGCAGCATTTGACCCATCCCAACCACCACCGCCCTCCCCGCCCCCGAGCCCAAATGTCCTCCATGTTTTGGAAAACAGGGTGGGCTCTTTGCACCCTACACGGCAGCTGTGGCTCTCACAGATATGACGCCCTTCTCCAGCATCCGGCCGGGTGTGTCATGGAAGTCGGCGAACTGCACCGCCACCTGGTGGTAGATGGGGAGCAGCAGGTCCTCGCGAGCCTTTAGCCGGCCCTCCAGGTCCTTTCGGTCCTTGTCGGAGAGATCAGGTTCCCCTGCAGGTGAGCAGAAAGGCCAGTCAAGCCATGGAAGCTGGTCATATGTGATGGGGTGGAGATTTTTTTTTTTTTTTGAAGAAGGCACAAATCAGGATTTGCAGGACAGGCCTTGCCTTGTGAGAGGTCTGAGCTTTAACTCTGATATTACCCCTGCTGCTACACAGGCTGCCCTCAGCCCCCTAGGTCCCCCAGAGTCCACTGGCCTGGCCCCCACCCCAGGCCCATCTTGATGGCCCCCTTTGTCTCAGATCAAATAGCTAGTACAGTCTCAGAAATGCACTCACAATTGCAAGACAGCATTCAACATGCAACTCTACATTTTCCCCTTCCATCAGACCCATCGTGCTTGTAGGATACTATATCAATGATTTTTAGTACACATTGTAAAATATGATAAGGGAATATTATAAGCAACTCTATGCCAAATTGACAACTTAAGATGAAATAGACAAATTCCTTGAAACACACAAACCACCAAAGCTCACCTAGGAGGAAACAGATAACACAAATAGTCCTATATATAACAAAGAAGTTGAATTTATAGGTAAAAACCTCTATCAAAAACATAAAGAAATAATGCCAATTCTGCAAAAACTCAGAAAATAGGAGCGAACACTTCAACTCATTCTATGAGATCAGCATTACCCTGATACCAGCCAAAGAAATTACACGCACACACTGTAAAAAATCTTGTGAATAGCACAGTTATAAAGACACTGACACTTAAAATGGATATTTAAATATCATCTTGTGGCCAGACTTAGTGGCTCACGCCTGTAATCCCAGCACTTTGGGAGGCTGACGCAGGCAAATCACTTGAGGCCAGGAGTTCAAGACCAGCCTGGCCAACATGGTGAAACCCTGTCTCTACTAAAAACACAAAAATTAGCCAGGTGTGGTGGCACACACCTGTAATTCCTGCTACTTGAGAGGCTGAGGCATGAGAATCGCTTGAACCTGGGAGGCAGAGGTTGCAGTGAGCTGAGATTGCGCCACTGCACCCCAGCCTGGGCAACAGAGCAAGACTCTGTCTCAAAAATAAACAAATAAATAAATAAAGATAATTACATCTAAAGATGACAAGTAAAACAAAGCTGTCATTCAAACAAAATTAGTAAAATATCTTATCTCTGATTGGGAATTCTAAAGGAACATTTTGCCACCAAAATTCTGATAATCCCCATCAGCCCCAAATACTTCAATTGCTATCTTTTGTGTATGCTGAGAAATAAATTCACGATGGCAATATATATATATATATATATATATATATATATAATGTTAAAAAGGTTGATTTAGAAATGTGAATGTCCTCCAATCATGGTAGCTCATGCCTGTAACCCCAGCATTTTGGGAGGCTGAGGTAGGTGGATTGCTTGAGCCCAGGAGTTTGAGAACAGCCTGGGCAACATGGCGAAACCCCACATCTACAAAAATACAAAAATTAGCTAGGCATGGTGTTGCGTACTTGTAGTCCCAGCTACTCAGGCTGAGATGGGAGGATGGCTTATGCCTGGGAGGCAGAGGTTGCAGTGAGCTGAGATTGCACCCTGCACTCCAGCCTAGGCAATAGAGCCAGACCTCAAAAAAACAAAACAAAACAAACAGACAAATGTGAATATCTTTAAAAATCTCACAGTTATTATAGCTGTATTTTGGTATTTTTTCATTTTATTTTTAACATCCTAGAAACCCCCAGCAGTGGGCCAGCTGGGCCTCTCTTGACCTCTGAGAGGTGAAGCCTTTGGGACCCCCTTACCTAGCTGTTCCATGAGCTTCTTGTAAGCTGGATCGATCCTTCTCATGGACTTTATCAGATCTTTCTTTCGGAACTTAATCTCCACTGTCCCCTCTGGTTCCAGAACACCACCCCTTAAAAGAGAAGAGGCAGGGATGGGGGTATATGAGGCATTGCCCAGCAAGCAAGGGCTAATGGATGTGGGGGGAGCTGGAGGGAAGAGAGCCAGAAGATCTGGGTGTCAGTCCTCAGCTCTTTTACCCCCACACATGCTGTGTGCCCTTAGACAAGTCACTTTCCCTCTCTGGGCCTCTGTATCTTTACCCACAGATGGAAAGACTGAGCCAACTGTTTAAAATAATGCTTTCTGAACTCTGGAGGGCCCCTTTCAGGTCTAAGAGTGTACGACTTTTTCCATGGCAGCATAACCCTCCTGCTCTCCAGCCACAGTCCTCTCTAACTTTGCTAATTTCTGCCCTCCTAGAGGAGGGGCACTGTTTCTGATCGCTTTAAATCTCACAAAAGCACCTTGAGAGCCCAGTGTAGTCTTGTGTGAGCTGTCCTCCCATTTCCAACATACATTTTCTTTTCTTTCTTTTTTTTTTTTTTTGTTTTTTTTTTAGACAGGGTCTCACTCTGTCACCCAGGCTGGAGTGCAGTGGCACTATCTCGGTTCACTACAATCTCTGCCTCCCGGGTTCAAGTGATTCTCCTGCCTCAGCCCCCCGAGCAGCTTGGATTACAGGCGTGTACCACCATGCCCAGCTAATTTTTGTATTTTTAGTAGAGACGGGGTTTCACTGTGTTGGCCAGGCTGGTCTTGAACTCCTGGCCTCAAGTGATCTGCCCCCCTTAGCCTCCCAAAATGCTGGGATTACAGGCGTGAGCCACCACGCCTGGCCTCATTTCCAACATTTTTATTTACCCCTTATTCTCCCCCTGCCCCCTTTTGCTTTTGACAGCTTAGAAGCCCTGAAGAATGCTATCAGTAGCTCTGAGCTTCCTGGTGGCCAGCATGAAAAGTTAGCAATGACTCCATTCAAGTGCTGCTCAGTATCCTGAGTCTTCCTGGAGGACTGACCTCAGCAGTCCCTAACAAGGGTCTAAGTGCCCTGAATGCAGGACAAGCTTGGCCCATTTGCCACCATATCATAATGTCTACCAGAATGGCTGGCATACAGTGAGGTAATCAATGGATATTCATTGAATTAGCAAATGAATGAGGGAGTGAACACAGGAATGCCGTGCCTATATTTGGAGTAGAATGACTCTTGAGGCCTTGACATCCTGTGTAGCATGTAGTTTTCACTTCAAAGTCATCAGTCACTGTGCTGTGAACATTATTGTCATCATCCTTTCTGTAAGAATCTCTGGAATAAATTCCTCCTAAGGAAAGTGCCAAGGAGGTTACCTCTCCCGCGAAGAACCGGTATCCTCTCATGCAAGTATTCATTCAGTCATTTGTTTAGCCAGTATTTTCTGACCACCTACCAGGAGAGTAAGGCACTGTGCTAGACCCTGGGATATAAAACTGAATAAAACATTTCCTATAGGAACTCATAGCTCAGAGTCTAATGAGAGATAAATGGCTCATCATATTTCCCTTTTCATCCTGGCTGCCAGGAAGTTCAAGTGCTTTTGGTCTTTCCTTTTTATTTTTTGATTGCAAACTTCCTTGGGAAGGGGAAGTGGAAACCATGAAAGAAGAGACAACATTTCTCCACCACTTACAGGTTCCAGCCACTGCATCCCTCCATGATCTCCCAAGGTCATGGGCTCTCAAGGCTGGGAGAACAAGAAAAGGCTAAGCCAGGCTAAGGGCAACACACCCACCTGCTCTCTTTGTCTGCATACATTTCTATGCACAGCGGGTTGATGGTGGCATCTATGACCACCCAGGAGCCTCCCCGGAGCTCCGCATAGGGCGGGATATAGATCAGGATGGGCTGTTTGTATTGTCTAAGGCCGTCCACGATGTAGGCTCCAAACTTCAGCACCTGGTCATACATGTCTGAAAAGCAAAGCAGCCTCCCAGTTCAGGGCCCTCACTCATCCACACATGAAACCCACTGCCCTAGTTGTCCTGGGGGTCCTGGGAGAGTGAGCCCAGCTGAGAGGCTTGGAGAGCACTGGGCTGGGATTTGAGAGTACTGATCACTCTCTAAGTGGCTGTGTGACCTCGAACAGGTCATTCACCCAGTGTGGGCCTCAGTGGCCTCATCTGTGAAGGCACAGGGAAAAACCAATCTCTAGGATTCTTTCCAACTGGAATTGAAATGCCCTCACCCATGACTGTCCCTGCCCTGCCCCACCATTTCCAGCAAAGAAAACCCTCACTAACAGTCACACTGATCCTTCCCCAATGTGCATGGGCAACATGGCCCTTATCTTCCACCAAGACACATCTCTCCAGGTCCCCAGGCACCCTACATGAAAACAAGAATGCAATAATAACAGCACTGACAATCACACTGCATGTCAGCAATTAGCTCATCAGACTCTTACCTCGGCCCTCTGAGGTTGGTCCTGTTCTTAACCCCCTTTTACAAAGGAGGGAAACTGAGGCTCAGTGATGTCACCCAGTTAACAAGGACTCACAGCAGGTCTGTCTGCCTCCCATCCAGCTCTGTCCTCAACACCCCAGTGATCCAACAGCCACTCTCTCCCAAAACATGCTTGGTGGCTTAAAAAGCCCTCACACAATTGTAAGGTCACATGAGGCTCAGAGCAGCTTTCTGCAGAGGGAAGGGTGGACAAACATCCTCCTCACCTTGCCAAATGGGGAGGTGCCTGCCCAGGTCACCCGGCAGCTCCTGGGGCTGCCCCTCCCTGACCTGCACCTCATGGTGTGACCTCTAGAAAGTGACACTTTGCCTCCAACCCTCAGTTCCTCATTGTTTTTTTTTTGTTTTTTTGTTTTTTTTTTTGAGATGGGGGTCTCACTCCGTTGCCCAGGCTGGAGTACAGCCTCAACCTCCTGGGCTCAAGCAATCCTCCCACCTCAGCCTCCCAAATAGCTGGGACAATAGGCATGTGCCACCATGCCCAGCTAATTTTTTAAACATTTATTTTGTTTTTTTGTAGAGACAGGGTCTTGCTATACTGCCCCAGGCTGGTCTCAAACTCCTGGCCTCAAATGATCTTTCTGCCTTGGCCTCCCAAAGCACCGGGATTACAGGTGTCTGCCACTGTGCCCAGCAGTTCCTCATCTTTAAAACGGGGTAGTGGGGCACCTGAACAATATTTTCTCCTCAGGGTTGTTGGGAGACACAGCTAAGATGATGATGGGCACAGACTAGGACATTAGCATCACCACCCAGAGGGTGCTGTCCTGGGTGCTGACCCCAAGGCTTTGGGGTAACATAGGCAGGGAGGGGCTTACCTTTCATGCCACCGGAGAACCCCCTCCAGTTGGCAAAGATCATCAGGGGCAACTTCTCCCGGTTGAAGTCCTTGACGGCCTGGGCGGTTTTGTAGGCTGAGTCTGGGAACCACACCTGTCCTGCCTGCTGAATTATCTGGAACACAGAGCTGCGGGGATCAGATGTCTCTGCACAACCACAACCCAGGACAGAGGGACGGCTGCCAGAACCTCGCTCTGGATGGCAGGCGATCTGATCTGTGCTGGCCCCAGCACCAGAGCCAGGGCTCAGAAGGATGGAAGCCCCATCTCCTCCGCTCAGGACCAGGCTGACCCTCCCATTGCAGCCCAGCAAGGTTCCCGTTGCCCTCCTTTACAGGCTCCGAGGGGTGCCAAGCTCGTCAAGGTCACACTGAGTTGGGGTAAAGCCGGCCCTGGAACCCAGCCCTCTTGACTCCTGAGCTCTTCTCAGTCTGTGCCCTGGCCTAGCGCAGAAACAGCAACAGAGGCAGGGCAGGAGGTGGGAGGGGTTTCTAGGGACCTTTATCATCTGCTGAGGAAGAAGCAAGATGGTGCAGCCATTTATGCAACCCATAGAGAAAGTGTCAGAGAAACAGGCACTGAGCCCCCCAGGGCCAGGGACTGCACTGGGTCCCCTGCTTCTCCACCTAAGTTGGCAGGGCAGGGATGGGACCCCCACGCCCAGGACCCACTCTCGACAGTACCGCTGGCTAAACCAGCAGCCACAGCTCCCGGCCCCCTCACCTTGGCCTCAGAATCCAGGTTGGCAGGGTCTGCAGGGACTGCCACCTCCACAGTCCGTGTCTCCACAGCAATCACTCCCACGGGAATCCCCCCAAGCCTGGAAAATGAGCACCAGTGAGCCAGGCCCTGGGCAGCACCCCAGGTGCATTTGGGGACCTCTGGGTGTGGGGGTGAGGGCACGTGGAGGAGAATGCTCTTTTTAATCTGGCGGATTATTTTATTGGAAGGCAAAGAAAAAGCCCCCAAATGGTAAGAGCCTCGAAAGGTAGCAGACCTATTGGTGCCCTTTTTGAGGCAAGAACCATCAGAGGAGGGCTGGGATGGTATAGGGCCTGGAGCAGCATGAACCACTAGAACTTTCTGTGACGAGGGCCACGTTCTCCATCTGCACTGTCCAATACAGGAGCTGTGGGCTGCACGTGGAACGTGGCAAGTGTGAGGAATGGAACAGGTCATCCTCTGTCACTTTGACTTAGTTCAATTTAAACTGAAGGAGCCGGGCATGGTGGCTTATGCCTGTAATCCCAGCACTTTGAGAGTCTGAAGCAGGAGGATTGCTTGAGTCCAGGAGTTTGAGACCAGCCTGGACAGCATAGTGAGACCCTGTATCTGCAAAAAATAAAAAAACTGGCTAGGTGTGGTGGCGCACACCTCTAGTCCCAGCTACTTGGGAGGCTGAGGTGGGAGGATTGCTTGAGCCCAGGAGGTCAAGGCTGCAGTGAACAGCGATCATGCCTCTGCACTCCAGCCTGGGTGACAGAGCAAGACCTTGTCTCAAAATAATAATAATAATAATGAAACTAAAGCATCACATGTAGCCAGCAGCTACTACACTGGTCTAGACATCAAGTTGCACTTGGAAAGGGCTGAGGGATATTGAACTGGACAGAGACTCAGCTCAGGGGATGCCATGACATCAGTTACTTGCTACTGAACTGTGCATCACTACATGGTTCTCGTTTACCCTATGATGCAGGGGTGGGGGAGAGCAGTCTTCAAATCAAAGTGTTTTCACATGGAAGAAGGAGTGGATTTTTTTTTTTTTATTTTTTGCTTTTAAAAATATAATTTATTTTATTTTATTTATTTTGAAGATGGAGTCTCGCTCTGTCACCCAGGCTGGAGTGCAATGGCGCAATCTCGGCTCACTGCAACATCCACCTTCTGGGTTCAAGCAATTCTGCTGCTTCAGCCCCCCGAGTAGCTGGGATTACAGGTGCCTGCCACCACGCCCAGCTAATTTTTGTATTTTCAGTAGAGACGGGGTTTCGCCATGTTGGCCAGGCTGGTCTCGAACTCCTGACTGCAGGTGATCCACCCGCCTTGGCCTCCCAACGTGCTGGGATTACAGGTGTGAGCTGCCACGCCCGGCCCTGGCTGCACTTTAGTATTTATTGCCGAAGATGTAAATGATAGCAGCCATTCCCACTTATGGAGTATGTCGATTTTAAATATTTCACACATGTTATTGCATCTAATCATCACAATAATCCTTTGGGGTAGAATTATTATCCCTATTTTACAGATGTGAAGGACCAGAGAGGGTGAGTGATGGAGATGGGGCTTGGCCTCAGGTCTAATGCAGAGCCTGGACTTATAGCTGCGACATCGTACCAGGAATGAGTGGTAAATGATGAGGAGGGAGCTCGGGGCTCATTATAAGGAGGAACTTTCAGGCAGGTGGAGCTGTCCAAAGAGATGAAAGCTACAAGGCTGAAGGGTGAGCTGCCCAGCTTGGAAAGCATGCAAGCATTGCAGCCTCCCACCAACAGTGGCATACAACAGGGCTCCTGTCCATGGCTCTCCTAAGATGGAATTCAGAGTGCCAGTGTCTGTGAAGTTTTCTGGGGAGAGCACCCAAGGCCACCTTCTGATGCCCAAAGGGGTTGTTAGCCCTTGTGGCCTGGGGACTGACTACAGGGTCCCAGGCCTCAGGAGGAGGCTGGCTGAGATACCTTCTAAGGGCACACACAGACACTGCAGAAATCATTCCCCAAATTGGTTTTTTCTTTTAGAAAATCCTGAGGCCAAGAAGAAAATTGCCCCTGGAGGTCCCTGGCCTCACACCTCGGGGCCCCAATGCCTGGTGAGTCAGACATGGGCAGCCTGCTCCCGTCTTCATGATTACCTTGCTCGTCCTGTCACCACGGTCTGCGCCCAGGGTGCCATGATTTCCTTGAAACTGCCGTGGTCAAAGAATCCGCTCTGCCACGTTCCCTTCAGAGCTGTGGACAGAAGGGCAGAAGCCCAGGCTGGAGGGCCAGGTGGCTGGGGGCCCCCAGGACACTCCTGGCTGTGCAAAAGCTCCCTAAGGACAGCCTGGCTTTAACCTCATAGCCCAGATACCCCTTTCTACCTAAAACCACACAGCCCAACCCCTTCCCTCCTTCCCAAAATGCCTCAAAAGACAAACAGGGCTGCAATAAATATACCAAGTCAAGAATTCAGTCTGTATGGAATATGTGACTACCATCAACAGCCAGCCAACTCCAAACACATAGATTCTAATCATGGTCTCTGCCTTCTCTTCCTAAGATGCAGAGAGTGGACAGACACCTCCAGAAGGTGGGATTTTAGGAAGGGACCACCTTTCCCGAAAAACTCATCCCTCACCTGCTAGCTGCTGGCTGCAGCTTCATAACCACTTAATTGGGAAAAAAGTTTCAATTTCCCAGAGAGACAGAGAGAGAATATGATGATGTCAATGACAGCCATTGGTGGGGAAGAAATGATGACTTAAATCCATGCAACAGCGTAAATGGCTGTGGCTCTGACCAGGAGGGGGCAGCCAGAGTAAGAGGCATCTCAGGCATGGGAGGCCCGGCACCCAGGCATGCAACAGCACAGCTTCAGCATCTGCCGAGGACTGGCCTGACAGTGAGAAGCCGAACATTTTTTAATTGAGATAAGCAGCCCCCTCAGTGTTTACAGGCCAGAAAGCCCAAGAGAAATGAAAAGCAAGAGAAGGAAGCCACAGGACTCCTTGCACTGGCTGGAGTCTAGCACACTCCCGAGGGTCACCTCTCCTGCATTGCACAGCCAAGGAGCAGCCAAGTCTAAAGGTAGCAGCATGTGAAATTCTAGATTTGGGATATAGTGACGGGAGCAGCTCAACTTTCCTGTTGTGTTCTGGTTGCTCAGACTGAAATAATATACCTCCAAGAGAGAAACTCATCCCTTTCAGAGAGAGAATGTGTGTGTGCAAAAATGTGTGTGCATGTGCATGTGTGTTCACGTGTCCACGTGCGTGTGTGTGTGTGTGTGTGTGTAGGTATAGAAGAGGTAAAATTGGCCAGGCATGGTGGCTCATGTCTGTAATTCCAGCACTTTGGGAGGCTGAGGCAGGCAGATCACTTGAGGTCATGTGTTCAAGACCAGCCTGGCCAACATGGTGAAACTCCGCCTCTACTAAAAATACAAAAATTAGCTGGGTGTGGTGGCAGGCACCTGTAATCCCAGCTACTCGGTAGACTGAGTCAGGAGAATCACTTGAACCCAGGAGGTAGAGATTGCAGTAAGCCAAGATCGCGCCACTGCACTCCAGCCTGGGCGACAGAGCAACACTGTCTCAAAAAAAAAAAAAGAAGAGGAGACCAGATTGCCTATCCTGTGTAAACTCACAGAGTTCCTTTGTAAGAGAGAAAGAAAGAGAAAGATGCAGTCTTCTCTTTGAAACTCTGATGTTTCAGCACTGAATTTTCTACTGATGAGACAGTGGGGCAGTTAGAGACCACGGAGCATGGAGCATCAGGGGAGGGAGACCAGGACCACCATTGCACCCCACCTCCATCTATTAGCTCCAGAAACTGGAGGCTGTTTCCACCCCTTCTTGGTCAATGGCTCAGGAAAAGCCTAGAGTAAAATCTCCATTTCTCTACTTTCCCTGCATTTGATTTCAGGTATACCTCTCTGGGATATGAGAACGAATATCAAGCCTTTGTCTCAAGCGCTTGAGACAAAGTGCTCCTTTGTCTCAAGCCCTAGAAAGAAACCCGAGACCAGGTCCTAGGCAAAATACTTTAGAACTTACTTGGGTGAGGCCTTCCTGCAAGCATCCACCGGGGGTCGTAGGGAGCTCTGGATGGGAGGAATTCAATTTCTCTGTCAATGGGGTCAGTGGGTGTGATGATAGGGACAGGGCTGTGATTATCCTAAAAAAGAAAGCCAAGTCTCTGACTTAGTCTGTGGTGCTTGTCAATAATACCTCTGATCAGCACTTTGCTCCTCTGACTATGATTATGCCTGGTTATGCAGCAATATCCCCTCCCTAGGGCTCCTGAAGCCACTGCTCTGATTGGAAAATGCCAGATAAGGACTGGCCATCCCATGGATTCTTCTGAAATCTAGTTTATGAACTCCTGAGTGTGCTTCCCGGTTCAGATGGTGTCACTGATGCTGGGAAGTTACAGAAACGCAGGAAAGGGTTGCTACTGCTATATATGGTCAGATAGGAGGAAAAACATCTTAAAAGAAAGAAAAAGAGATTGGTTGCAGAGAATGGTAACAGATGGCATGCAGATGGGGAAAAGGGGCACTTGGGAATACAAACTGACATTTGTGACTTGGGGTTCTTGGCAGAAGATCTGGAATGACCTGAACTCTGTAAACCCAACCTCTCAGAAATGGTTATAATGAAGAATGACAACCTCACTCATTTGTAAGGAATGTTACAGTTAACCAAGAACTGTGCCCACGATTGTCCCCTTCTTACTTTGGTGAGGACCTACCAAACGTTGTGCTTTAAATATCACTTCACTTAATCATCATGATAACACCATGAGTTAGGTGCTATTATTATTCTCATTTCACAGATGAGGAAACAGGCTCAGAAAAACTTAGGGACTCTCCCAGTGTCTTACAGCT
The DNA here is from genome assembly GCF_000001405.40 of Homo sapiens. NCBI lineage: Eukaryota > Metazoa > Chordata > Mammalia > Primates > Hominidae > Homo > Homo sapiens. The sequence goes on along the minus strand of NC_000012.12, from coordinate 109,253,501 downwards.
ACCGAGGAGGAAGGCAGGAATCAAATCCAGCCTGACTGTAAAGCTTAAAGACTCAGTATTGTCCAATGCTGCCTCTTGTCAAGAGGCAATACTACCTCTTTCTAAAGGATTAACAGATAGCATCCTTACAATGGCATTAGTGCCACCAAAAGAGCAAAGGACACCTAGTACAGGGCTGGGCATCAGAGAAGGAAGAAGGAGTAAGAAAAATCAACCCCAGCCACATGTGCAGTGCTTCCTGCTCCTCAGCCTCCCACACCACCCAGGAGGTGACAGGGACAGAATTAGCCAATGAGCTTAATAAGAGTCTTCCAGGTTCTAAGCTGCAGGGGGAGTACTGCACCTTTGGCATATAGGACAGCCACTCCAGGATGGTATAAACCCCCTCAAAGTCATCTGGCACGGTGATGTGGGAGACACCATTGTAATGCATGATCTGAACGCCACCCAGCTGGTTGTTGGATGTGTAGACCTCTCTTCCCAGGACCTGCTTTGACACAACATGGTTAGCAATGTCCTGCACGGTGCAGGGCTCTACCACCTGTTTGGAAATCATCTCAGTGCTTCTCAATCCTGGCTACACATTAGAATCACCCAGGAGATTTCACAAATCCTGATGCTCAGGCTACATCCAGACCAATTATATCAGAATCTTCGAGGAATTAGTTTTTGTGTTTTGTTTGTTTTTTAGTTTCTAGATAATTCCAATATGCAGGCCAATTTGAGAACTGGTGATGCAGCTGACTTCTACCTTGACCATCTCAAAAGCAAAACCCTAGCTAGTGTTTCTGATTCAGCAGGTCTGCAGCAGGGCTTGAGGATGTGCATTTCTGACAAGTTCCCATCTGATGCTGATGCTGTTGGTTCAAGAACCAGGCTTTGAGACTTTGGCTGAGATTTGAGCAGACATTAAGTATAGAGACTTTTCAACAAGGAAAATGTTTTAATACAGTGAAAAAAGTAGAATACAAAACTGCATATTCACTATAAATTAACCACATAAAGACAGAAGATGAGAGGGAACTATACCAGAATGATAGAAGCTGCAAAATTACTTTTTTGGGGGGTTCCTTTTCTAATTTTCTGCAATGTGTAATGGCACTTCAATAATTTGTTTTAAAATGTCAGTAATACAGGGAGTTAGATCGACCAGAATTGCCTAAAACTAATTTTTTTTTTCTCATAAGGACCCAGATAGCTGCAAATTGGAAAAAAAGAGCTCTTGTATCAGTAGGAATGAAACTGGCTTCATATTGAGAAAAATCCCCCACCAGAGACCAATGGGAATGTTAAAATGACTCCTGGCCCCCAAGGATCCACTCTGCACAGGCCCCTTTTTGGTCACCTTGTTGAGAGCACTTGCTCCTGTGAGGATGATGTGGGAATTCTCCACCTGGATCACTCGCTGGCCCAGCCTCACCAAGTAGGCCCCAATCCCAATGGCTCGGCAGGTCACCTGTGGAGAGAGGACCCCCTCTGAATTCTGGAGAGTGGCGAGGGACCCACCCCCCACAGCAGGGAAGAGTCCAGGAACCTGCTGGGACCAAATGGAAGTTATGTTTTGACCAATGGCAACCCGATTTGGAGCCAAACCACAGTAGAGGCAAAAGCCTATTCTTCAGGCCACTTTATTGAGCTTGGATTCCTATCTGGAAATAACATGGTTAACAAAGATTGCTGTAAAGACAAGCAGCAGACAGTGAATGTTTCAGATTTTAAGAGGCTTGTGTGCAGCTCTTCTGAGCCTGGGCATTCATGGGCCATTGCAGCCTCTTAACAACCAAAAGGACACCTAGGAGTGCATGTAAAAACTGGTGAAATTCAAAATAAGGTCTGTACTGAGTTAACAATATTGTGCCAATGTCAGTTTCCTGGTTTCGATAATGTACTACGGTTATGTAAGTACCATAGGGGAAGCTGGGTGAAGGGTACTTGGAAATTCTCTGTAGTATCTTATAACTTACGGTGGGTCCTAGATGACTTCAAAATAAAAAGACTATACATATAATCTAGAAAACAAGCCCAAGGAAGATGCTTATGACCAACATTTTCCACTTGGAAACTGAAGATTCAACATTGCATGTACAAATAAGGCCTTCCAAGGCAGTTTATCATTAAAGAGTACTATTATTCCTGCTGCTGCTGCTGTTAGAGTAGGTAGTTAAGCAGACATGAGCAGGGCAGGAGAGGAAGGCAACCATCAGGTGATAGTTAGGCAGTTGCTAAAGTGTCTCTCTAAAATTAATATTGGTCACAGCTGGCTCCAGGGAAAGGCAATCTCCTGATAGATAGAAAACACCTGAAGCTAGTGATAAGCAGCTTCCCCATAAGATCTCAGGAGCTGGGTGGGTGGGCTCAAGCATGCATGCTAAGAGGTAAGATGGCAGAGTTTATCTGGTACCGTGCCCTTCTTCTAGGAACACTCGACTGGTAAAGGAGGAAAGCCTCAAGTGAGCATGCACACAACTTCAGTAAACACACTGTTCATGCGGCCCCTCCTAAGTGCTGGCAGACCACGTGCATGCAGACAGCCCACCCCAAGGGAAGAATCAGGGGAGAAGAAACACAAACCCTGGAATCATGCCAATGCATAAAACCTCAAAAGGGTTGGATGAGGCACTTGGATCTCTCAGGTTGCCTTGTTTGGCCCTCTTCCAAGTGTACTTCATTTCATTCTTGCTTTAAAACTTTTTAATAAACTTTCACTCCTGCTGAGAGACTTGCCTCGGTCTCTCACTCTGCCTTAGACCCATACAGATTCACCACCACAAACACTACTACCACTACTACTACTACCACCACCACTACTACCACCACTGCTAGTACTAGAATTACTACTAGTACTACTACTACTACTACAGTAGTACTACTACTAGAAACAGAAAACATTTTTGGAAAGGCCATGGGGATGGGATGGGGACTACTCCTTATATGCCAGTTAAAGTCAGAGAAAAGTTCTTCTAAACATTCAGTACCTTGAAAATAAGATGAGATTGGACCCTGATTCAAACAAACCACTAGAAAAGGGTATTTTGAGATAACTGTTAAACCACACTGGGTTTCAATGATATTGCTGATTCTGTTGGGTGTAATATTAGTATTTCAGTTATGTTTTTAAAAACCGGGGGAAGAGGGTGAGAGTCATTATCTGTTAAAGATCTACCCTTACGTATTTATGGATGAAAAGACATGATGGGGGCTGGCTTTAAAATACTCTAAAACAGGTGCAGGGGATGGGGGTGAGATTGAGGAAATATCAGTGGGCTGGCATGTGGTAACTGTAGGAGGTATGTGACGGGCACATGGGGCTTATTATTGATTCTCTCTAATTTTGTGACAATTTTAAAGTTTCTATAATGGAAAGTTGAAAAGTAAGAGAAAATAGAAGAAGACTCACCAAGCTAATGGTGACGATCTCTTCGTAAGCCAGAGAGGACTCCCCAGCAATCATGCCTGAGCCCCTCAGATTCTCCACGCCCAAGCCATCATCCTTCCCGATGATATCCGTGATCATGTATCTTCAAAAGCAAGCACAGGTTAAAGGCTGGGCTCTAGCCCCAAAAAATCCAAGGTGGATGCATTTCCCAAGAAGGGACTGACTGGGCAGCAAGGTGAGAGATTGGAAGCAGACAAAGCATCCAGAGGCAAAATGAAATTGGCATCTAGAACCCTCAAAATGAGTGCTAAGATTTCTAAAAGGGCAAGTGCAGCATCAACAATCATCACCCTGCTCTGTAATCCCAGCAGTTTGGGAGGACGAGGCGGGCAGATTACTTGAGGTCAGGAGTTTGAGACCAGCCTGGCCAATATGGCGAAACCCCATCTCTACTAAAAATACAAAAGTTAGCTGGGCGTGGTGGTGCACGCCTGTAATCCCAGCTACTTGGGAAGCTGAGGCAGAAGAATCGCTTGAACCTGGGAAGTGGAGGTTGCAGTGAGCCAAGATTACACCACTGCACTCCAGCCTGGGTGACAGAGCGGGATTCTGTCTCAAATAAATAAATAAATCATCACACTGCTCCCATCTGTGAAAGGAAAATAAAAACTAGGACCACGATTCACAATGCCAAAAGGAACAATTTAAGCTGAAGCTGAGTTGTGCAAGCTGCCTTTCCTTTTGTTTCTTTAGTAAGCAGATAGATACAGATAAAAGCTGAAATATCTCCACAGGTAGTTCCTCTATGTCCACCTTATCTTATAGAAAGTGCTGACTTACTGAGCGCAGGAAGAATACATAACTGACTTCCCCTGCCTGCGCCTTTTCTCCTGCAACATGTGATTACCAGAACTTCCCTCTTTCCCCTCCAGCCTGCTTTTCTCCTTTAAATACTGAAGCCCTCCAAATCATCTTTGAAGAAAGGTACACGCCACAGACGGTTTCTATGATTCCGTGTTCTTTGCTTCTGGATGTGTCCCTAACCTTGGCAAAATAAACTTCTCAATTGATTGAGACCTGTCTCAGATACTTTTTGGTTTATACAACCAAAGATATCTGCCTGTTCAGGGGCTGTCTCAGTGAAATATCACCCTCGGCCCATATTCCTCCAACGGTCTACAGAGAGATGGGGGTACACAGAGGAAACCCATTCACAATCAATCAATCAAAAATTCCAGGGCCACATAATGAGAAACACTGTCCCGCCAGCCTCTGTTAGAGATTCACAATGCACTTTAGCATGTGTGATGGTTAATATTAAGTGTCAACTTTAGGATGCAAAGTACTGTTTCTGGGTGTGTCTTTGAGGGTGTTGCTAGAGGAGATTAACATTTGAGTCAGTGGACTGGGAGAGGAAGACCCATCCTCAATGTGGGTGCGCACCATCCAGTCATCCAGCTGCCAGCGCGGCTAGAAAAAGCAGGTGAAAGAAGGTGGAGTAAGCTGCCTTGCTGAGTCTTCTGGCTTTCATCTTTCTCACATGCTGGAAGCTTCCTGCCCTCAAACATCAGACTCCAGGTTCTTCGGCCTTTGGACTCTTGGACTCACGCCAGTGGTTTGCCAGGGGCCCTCAGGCCTTTGGCCACTGAAGGCTGCACTATTGGCTTCCCTACTTTTGAGGCTTTTAGACTCAGACCGAGCCACTACTGGCTTCCTTGCTCCTCAGCTTGCAGACAGCCTATCATGGGACTTCACCTTATGATCATGTGAGTCAATTCTCCTTAATAAAGTCCCTTTCATATATACATATATCCTACTAGTCCTGTCCCTCTGGAGAACGCTGACTAATACAGCATGCTACAGGTACTAAGAAGGTCTGCAATAAAGATGTTTATGAGATCTCATTTAACCCAGTGTTTCCCAAACTCATCTGACTATGGAATTTCCCCCCAGCTTGTCACTAACATTGCAAAAAACCCAGTCTAGGAAATCCTGAGTCAGTTAATCCCACTGAGAAAAACATAACTTGTCCTGGAAAAGATAGTAGCCTTTGAATGCTCTCGAAGAACAGACCTCTCTCTGCCCCACCCATACCTTCCCAGTTTGCCAAGTCACCGCTGCATCAGTTTGGTCACAAAATGTGAGCCTGCGGCTCCTAGGAGATTCACGAGAATCCAATCTCATTCTCCCTACATGACGTGCTATTTTTTGTGAAAGGAGTCACTCATTTTAGAATGACAAGGATGGACTCACCTTGGAGAGTTTAACAAATGTTTAAGGCATCAGTGCCCCCAACAGGCATTGGTTCCCATCATACAAACACCACCACCCCACTGGAAAATATCGCCACAAGCCCCGAGGAAAGAAGACAGCTGAAATTAACCATGAGCAAAATTAAGGAGCTACCTGATAAGTTATTTACCTGGACTCTCCTCCTTCCTCGATGTGTTTACAGTGGACGGAGTTCAGGGAGCTGATTCTGGTGTAGTCTTGGGGAGTCAGGTACAGGTATTTAAATCCCTTAAAAAATACTTTAGTGAGGCTACGAATCCAGTTCCCTGCACTGAAAGCCACTGTTTTTTTTTTCTTAATGTGAACATCGTAGGGATGGATGTTAATAACATGTTAGTAACATGTCAATGACACATTAACACATCTCATGTAAATACCGTATTAATAACAGCCATAAACTGAAGTTCTGCTTTGAGCTAAGCTCTCCTCTAAGGACTATCTCATTTTTATTTCTTATTGCCAGCACCCCAACATGAAATTTTAATTTTCAAGATACACTGTTTAACCACTATTTACATACTCTGTATATGTATATATGTTAAAAACTATTTTATTGCCACCCCAAAAATTATTTTTCTGTCTTCTTGGGGGTAGTGGGCAATATCGCCCCCGAGAATGCATGCTCTGAATGGAAAGGATGACTGTCCCCTGTCATTTCACATCACAGAATGCGTGCGCTTCCCTCATTCATCTTGCCTTTTATGGCAAGCTGGTATCTATACAACTCCCCAAAGATTTTTCTTTTTTTTTGAGATGGGGGGTCTCACTCAGTTGCCCAGTCTGGAGTGCAGTGGTATGATGATCATGGCTCACTGCAGCCTTGAACTCCTGGGCTCCAAGTGATCCTCCCACTTCAACTTCCCAAGTAGCTGAGGCTGACTACAGGCAGGCACCATCATGCTCACCTAGTTTTTTCATTAGTAGAGACGAAGTCTGGCTATGCTGCCTAGGTTACCTAGCTTGGTCATGAATTCCTGGCTTCAAGCTATCCTCCCACCCAAGCCTCCTGAGTTGCTGGGATGACAGGTGTGAGCCATAATTCTAAGAACGCTATGAGGCCAGGGAGTTGACACAATCACCTCTGCATTCTCAGTGCACACTGCATTCAGGAGCGCTCAGTGTATATCAGCTCAGGGTTTATAGACTTTTTTCATTATCCCCGTTAAGGAGCCTTTTTAGATCTTTTTTTTCTCATCACCATCCCCCCCGCCACAGTGAAATGTTAGTATCACTGATACACTGTATGCCTGTTTATACACTACATGTACATCTGTGCTTTATACATAAGTGAGATTTTTTTCACCTCTTGCAGGTGCTAGCACTCCCACTGAAAATACAGTAGTAGCTGAGCAGAATCACCCTGCCCCGCCAGTTTCACGACGTACTTTGTGGGGGTCTTCTGGGTCCACCCAAGCCACGTGGAACATGTGTTTGATCTCCTCTGCCATGCCAATACGGGCGCCACTGTTGGCTGCCACGTAAATTTTGGGAATGCCCTCTGCCCGGGCCATCTCGGATGCCCGCAGGTACAGAAGGTCCTCTCCAGGGCCAAAGGATCCAATGCGAAAGGTGATGTCATTGCCGATGACGATCACATCCCGTCCTTCCGGGTACTCCTGGGTCTTAAACCTCATTTTGAAGGCCACCATGCCCACCTGGCAAGGGGATGAATGCACAAGGAAAATGAGTTTGTTTCTTTGGGGGAAAACTTTTTATTTTATTTTAGTTATTATTATTTTTTTTAGATACAGGGTCTTGCTCTGTTGCGCAGGCCAGAGTGCAGTGGTGCAATCACAGCTCATTGCAGCCTCAACTTTCTGGGCTTAAGCAATCACTCCTGCCTCAGTCTCTCGAGTAGCTGGGACTATAGGAGCACACCACCACACACAGCTAATTTTAAAATTTTATGTAGAGACAGGTTCTCACCATGTAGCCCAGGCTGGTCTTGAACTTCTGACCTCAAGTGATCCACCCACCTTGGCCTCCCAAAGCACTGGGATTACAGGTGTGAGCTACTGCACCTGGCCCAAAAATATTTTTAAGGGGGTGACTCCAGCCAGGGGTTAGGCTCCGCTGAGCTATTACCTCATTTCCACCAGGAAGTCGGTTCATCTCCACCAGCTGGCCCTGAGAGTCCAACACTAATTCAGTGTATGTCAGGATGTCTTTGGGATACTTGTCTGGGGAGCCCCACAGTTTAAAGAGAGCCTGGGGAGAGAAGAGGAAAGAGAAAAAACTTGAAGTCATCAGTAGGGAAGAACTATCTTTCCCAGACAGAGATGATCTGTCATGATTCCAGGGTGAATTCTGTAGTTCACTCTCTCTTTTTGAATCATGAAATATTTAAAGCATATTTAAATATGAGCACCCATCCAGTGGCTCTGTCAAATCTTGATTTTTCCATAGTTGTTTAAAGTTTTTGAAAGAAAGAAGAAAGATGCGATTGAAGCCCCAGCTCATTCTTCCTCCCAACTCCAACCCACAGGTGACCATTCCCTTGAATTCAGTGCCTACCCAGTCCTATGCATGCTTTTTTTTTCATTTTCCTTTATCCTGTATGCATACATTGGAAACATACAATATCGTTTTGCACTGCAAACTTTAAATAAAGAGTACCACACTGTACACATCCTTCCGCAAATTACTTTTTCTATTTTTTTTTTCTCTTGTTGCCCAGGCTGGAGTGCAATGGCGCAATCTCAGCTCACCGCAACCTCTGCCTCCCGGATTCAGTGATTCTCCTGCCTCAACCTCCCGGGTTGAGGCACCACCACACCTGGCTAATTTTGTATTTTTAGTAGAGACAGGGTTTCTCCATGTTGGTCAGGCTAGTCTCAAATTCCTGACCTCAGGTGATCCACCCACCATAGCCTCCCAAAGTGCTGGGATTACAGGCGTGAGCCACCACGCCCGGCAGCAAATTACTTTTTCTACTCCTCTTTGTTTGAGAGATTTATCCATATTGATAAATTTAGCTCTGGTCTGCTGTTCAGTTTTCCATTCTCTCGATAGATAGATAGATAAATAGATAGATATAGACATAGATATAGATATAGAGGCAGACAGACAGACAGACAGCTGGGTGTGGTGGCTCATGCCTGTAATCCAAACACTTCGGGAGGCTGAGGCAGGCAGATCACCTGAGGCCGGGAGTTTGAGACCAGCCTGGCCAACATAGTGAAACCCTGTCTCCACTATAAATAAAAAAATTAGCCAGGCATGGTGGCTCATGCCTGTAAAAAAGAGACAATGGATTTATCTAAAAAAGAGACGATGGATTTGCTTCTGGTTCAGTCATGTTTCTTCCCTTATAGCTCTTGAGGTCAAAGGCAAAAGGATACAGACAATGACATTCTTAATCATAAGTTTCCACTTATTAAGCGCCCACTGAATACATACACTTTTCCAACAACTTTTGGTAGGTACTGTTATTATTCTTATTTTACAGAAGAGGAAACTGAGGCCCAGAGAGGTGAAGGAACTTGGCTAGGGACAGCAGGAAGCAAGGGGACAGATCCAGCATTCGAGCTGAGGCCCGAGTTACTCTAAAGAGCAGCTTTTCCTACTCTTTCATATCCTCTATGCATGAGGCATAGGCAGAGGTAGGAACAGATGCTTCCTGCCTACACTGGAAGGTCCTTGACCTTGGTTTCATGAACGTCATTCACTTGTTGATGGGGTTGTTGTTTTTCTTGTAAATTTGTTTGCGTTCTTTGTAGATTCTGGATATTAGCCCTTTGTCAGATGAGTAGATTGCAAAAATTTTCTCCCATTCTGTAGGCTGCCTGTTCACTCTAATGGTAGTTTCTTTTGCTGTGCAGAAGCTCTTTAGTTTAATTAGATCCCATACCAACATGGCACATGTATACATATGTAACAAACCTGCACATTGTGCACATGTACCCTAGAACTTAAAGTATAATAAATAAATAAATAAATATATATATATATATATAATGTCATTCCAAAGCAATCCTGGAAAATGAAGAGACATTCACATCACCAATGTCAGTGGTTCAGGCTCCTTTAAAGCCCCTAGGGCATAAACATATAAAGGCATAAAAAATACTTGAAGAAAATGCACCCAAATGTTCTTTCAGGCATTGATGGTGGGAAAATTACATATGAATAGAATTTTACTTCCTTATTCTTACCTTTCCATAGTTTCCTATGTATACTTTAATCATCAGAAAAACATAATAAAACATTATTTTTTTGTTTTTGTTTTTGTTTTTGAGACAGAGTCTCGCTCTGTCACCAGGGCTAGAGTGCAGTGGGGCCATCTCAGCTCACTGCAGCCTCCACCTCCCGGGTTCAAGCAATTCTCCTGCCTCAGCCTCCCGAGTAGCTGGGACTACAGGTGCCTGCCACTACGCCTGGTTAATTTTCGTATTTTTAGTAGAGATGGGGTTTCACCATGTTGGCCAGGCTGGTCTTAAACTCCTGACCTCAAATGATCCACCTGCCTCAGCCTCCCAAAGTGCTGGGATTACAGGCGTGAGCCACTGTGCCCAACCCAAAACATTATTTTTTAAGAGTAGACTAAAAATTACTCAAGGCAGTGACCCCCTCCTCTTTCCCACAGCTGTCTAGACTTCGAATGGTGCCTGGTAAGTAGCAGGTACTTAATAAATGACCATTAAAAAGACCAGAAGGAAACACATCAAAATGTTAAGCAATTTGTCATCAGAGTGTGGGACTAGGAATTATTTTTTCTTTGTTCCAACCTCCTTTATTTTCTGAAGTTTCTATATCCTATGACTTTTATCATTGGGATAAATTAGTCTTATTTGGAGAAAAATACTATGAAGTCGTTCTCAACACATTCATTTCTTTTTCTTCAATGCAGACCTTGTTCTTTTTTTTTGAAGACGGGGTCTCACTCGGTCACCCAGCCTGGAGTGCAGTGGTGACATCATGGCTCACTGCAGCCTCGACCTCCCAGGCTCAGGTGATCCTTCCTGCCTCAGCCTTCAAGTAGCTGGGACTACAGGCATGCGCCACCACGCCCGGTTAATTTTTGTATATTTTGTAGAGATGGGGTTCTTCAACTCCTGGGCTCAAGCAATCCTCCCTCCTCGGCCTCCCGAAGTGCTGGGATTATAGGCGTGAGCCACCGCACCTGGCAAGACCTTGTCCTTTAGACTAGGTCTTTAGAAGGAGAATTAAGGATGGGCTTTGGTTCTGGTGGAGTCTGCTGGGAGGACCCAGGGGGTACCGCGTCTGAGCCGCCGGACTTGCCTGCCTGAACATTTCCGGGAAGTCATAGATGTAGGTGGTTCCCAGGGTCTGGGCCTGGAATCGCTTGGCCTGGAGCAGATCCTTGGTGACGTAGGGAGTATTGATCAGCATCCCGTGCTGGGGCCCTTGCTTGTTGCCGAAGGAGTGAAACATGATCTGGACCAGAAAGGAGGGAAAACAGAGAGTGAGAGAGAATCACACATCTCCCCCAATTTATTTCTGCCCAGTCCTCAATGAAAATGCAGGTGGGGGAAGCAAAGCATGTCACATGGCATGACAAAGTGAGTGCCTGGGCTACGTAAAACTCCCTTCTTCACCACTGTGGAGGGCCAGAACAAGAAGGGACAACAGGGGCTGTGGAATGCAGTTCCAAAAATACAGTGATCAAGGCATCACACACTCCCAACAACAGGCATGCATGGAAACGCTGGTGAAATCCGAACGTGGTCAGTGTTGGTGCGAACAGTCCTGTGCCAATGTCAATTTCCTGTTTTAATGATGTGCAATGGTGAAGTTCAATCAACATTACCATTGGGGGAAACTGGGTGAAAATCCTCTGCACTATTTTTTTTCTTCTGTACTAATTTTGCAACTGCTTGAGAGTCTTCAGTCTTCAATTACTCCAAAATAAAAAGTGCATAGACCAGGCACAATGGCATGTGCCTGTAGTCCCAGCTACTTGGGAGGCTGAGGCCAGAAGATTGCTTGAACCCAGGAGTTCAGGCCCAGTCTAGGCAATATCTCTTTAAAAAATGGCGTGTATATATATGTATATTTTTATGTACACACATAGGAATTTAAATGGCAGTCAAAAGAACATTTAATTCACTTTACAAAAGTCTGTCCTAGAACATGGTTGGGAAAGTATTTCCCTAAGTGAACCAATCTGAGGACTGCATTACAGTCAACCACAGTAGTGCACAACTTATCCCAAATATGGCCATATGGCCAGGCGTGGTGGCTCACGCCTATAATCCCAGCACTTTGGAGGTCGAGGCGGGCAGATCACTTGAAGTCAGGAATTCGAGACCAGCCTGGCCAATATGGTGACACCTTGTCTCTATCAAAAATCCAACATGGCCACAGAATGGATTAAACTTGGAGATTCACTCTCCTTTTTAGGTGAGTGAAAAACCAAGATTCAAAGGCTAACACATTTAACATAACACTCAGAGGGGGCTACCCCAACCCAGAATGACATGGGAGAGCAAGGCAAGACCGCCTCCAAATGCCATCTTAATCTACAAATTGATGGCCCAAGCAGCCTGCTTCTGCTTTGACTTAGACCCCCACGGCGCGGGCCAGCCTTACATTTCCAGATCTGGAGTCAGTCACTTCTTTGTAGAGGCTGATGTCCAGGTAGTAGCCCGACTCATTGGTGATGAACAGGCGGATGGGAACGGCACTGCCGGTGGTGGTCTGGCGGATGTTGATCTTGACCTCAGCCTGTAGCACACGGAGTTTCCACAGCCGGCTGCCGTAGCGCATAACCATGTAGCGCACGGACTCCTCGATCTGCCCCAAAACACAGCAATTCCAGTTTCAGGGCCAAGACATCCCAAGGACATTTGCAATAGCACTGATACTAATAAGAGGATGAGATATACTGACTGCAAAAACGCCTGGGACATAGTGTGTATCCAACAAAAAGTATTAACTAATAACAAGCAACGGCTCTTGCTAAGCATTTAAAACTCTACCTCATTTTGCCTTCGTAAGTACTCAAGAGAGGCGAGCTTTTCTAATCCCTCACTGACAGATAAGGAAACTGAGGCTGATAAGTGACTGAACTAGTACTGCTATGTTATACTATCTTTACATGCCTTTGACTCAAGCCATTGCACTGCTTCCTTCTGGAACTACCTGAACTAGTGAGGCCAGAGCCTCCACATGGGTCCCCTGAATCCCCCAGATACCAAACGGATGTATCAGGACTTCTCTTTTTAATAATACTATTGTATTAATTATTTTTAATAATATATATTATTAAATAATAAAATAAAATACATTTATATATTTTAATAATATTAATATATCGATATTAATATTAATTTGATTAATAATCTTAATATTTTATTTTTTAATTTTTAAAATTTTTAGTAGAGATAGGGTCTCTCCATGTTGCCCAGGCTTGTCTCAAATTCCTGGGCTCAAGCAATCTACCCACCTCAGCCTCCCAAAGTACTGGGATTACAAGTGGGGCTTCTTTCATTCCAGAATCACCACCATAAAAGTCTGTCTGCTCGTGAAGAGCCACCTGACAGGGAACATTCAGCCACAGACCTCACGGTCTCACGTCTCTCCCCACCCACATGCAGTCCCCAGCGCAGCCTGGAACCAGGGAAAGGACAAAATTTTGTTTTGAAAGACATTTTGAGCATGCTTGTCATCCTTAAAGTAAAGCATTCCCGTGCAGGGCATGGCTAAAACATAGCTCTAGAATTGAATGGCAGAAGGTTTGCTCTCCTCCCGCAGCAACTGAGGCTCAGATACGCATGGTTTCATCCTGGAACCCAGGTCTTGAGTGGCAAGAGACAATACCCCAAAGCAGCATGGCTCAGAGGGTGAACCCAGAGCCCGGTGAGAGCCCCCCTGCAAAGGCGAGACCTTGAAGGGGTCCATGATGACAGTGGGCACGAAGTTGAGGAAGATGTGGTTGCAGTCGGTGCGCACGCTGGTGTTATTGAACGCCACCTCCAGCTCGTCCATGGCCTCCAGGAGCAGCCGCTCACCCTCGTTCTGCAGGTATTCGAAGGAGGCTTCCTGCCAAAGAGTGGGAGGGGCAGCTGCTCAGGCCAGGGGTGCAGGCCTACTCCCAGCTGGCTGGAAACTCAGCCCCAAAGAGGCAGAGACAGGAGGAAAACATTCCCCTCCTCCAAAAAGTGTGCCAGGCAAGAACAGCAGAGCCCTGCCTCTCAGAGGCGAAGGGACTGCAAAGCTGTTGAGTGTATTGACATGTGTCCTATTTTCTGCATTCTGACACTTTGACACCTGGGGCCTTGCTGACCCTGGATCATACCTGGGGACACAAACCACCTGCTCTAATCACCCAGGGCCAGATTCCTGAGAACCAGAGACAGCTTCTATATGCCAGGGTCTGCTGAGATGATTCACAGCCAATCCTAAACCTGTTTACTCAGCCTCACTTTTTTCTTCTCCAGGAAACCACAATCAAGGCTCTCGTCCACGTCTTCCATGTCTTCCCCTCTGTCCCTCTGCTGCCTGACCAACCCCAGAGCCTCCCCATGTGGCCCCATGGCAGGGAAAACCCCTTCTTCTTGGGAACTATGAGTAATAAACTGTCTTTTTGATGGCAGTTGTCTCCTTATCTGTTGGCCTCACCATACCTCAACAATAATAAAACCTATTAAAACGGCTTGGCCAGGCACAGTGGCTCACGCCTATAATCCCAGCACTTTGGGAGGCCGAGATGGGTGGATCAGTTGTCAGGAGTTCGAGACCAGCCTGGCCAACATGGTGAAACTCCGTCTCTACTAAAAATACAAAAATTAGCTGGGCATGGTGGTGGGCGCCTATAATCCCAGCTACTTAGGAAGCTGACGCAGGAGAATCGCTTGAACCCGGGAGGCAGAGGTGGTAGTGAGCCAAGATCACGCCACTGCACTCCAGCCTGGGTGACAAGAGCAAATCTCTGTATCAAAATAAAAATAAAACATCTAGCTGACAGGTAGCAAAAAAACTGCAGTTAGCTTAATATCCATCAATAGGGCCAGGCGTGGTGGCTCACGCCTGTAATCCCAGCACTTTGGGAGGCCGAAGTGGGCAGATCACCTGAGGTCGGCAGTTTCAGACCAGCCTGACCAACATGGAGAAACCCCATCTCTACTAAAAATACAAAATTAGCTGGGCATGGTGGGGTGTGCCTGTAGTCCTAGCTACTCAGAAGGCTGAGGCAGGAGAATTGTTTGAACCCGGGGGTGCGGAGGTTGCAGTGAACTGAGATTGTGCCATTGCACTCCAGCCTGGGCAACAAGAGCAAAACTCCATCTCCAAAAAAATATATATATATAATAATTATATATACATTTATATAAATATATATTTATATAAATACATATAATATGTATTATATTATGTATATATAATGTTATATAACATATTATATATTATATTATGTATATTATATGTTATATTATATAATATATTATATATATTATTATATATAATTATATATATAATAATATATATATGTTTCCATCAATAGGGGATTAGTAAAAAAAAAAAAAAAATTATACACGGTACATCCATGCAAGGAAATAATATGTGGTGGACCACTCTTTATTAACAATGAAAGAGGTCCACAAGTGACTGACCAATTAAAGAATAATATATTCAAATGATCTGTCCACTCTCAGCTCTTATCTGCAACTTATGCCTACAACTCTAGGTTTCAGGGACGGAATTGTGTCTAGAAACAGTCAACAACTAAGCTGGCCCCTCAGTGACAGGATTCTCGGTCCTTGCGCTAGGTTCTTAAAAATCGTTTTCAGTCTTATTTAAAATTTTCACAATATAATCATGGATTACTTCTGTTTCTTTTTTTCTTTTTTTTTTTTTTTTGTGATAGGGTCTCACTCTATCCCCCAGGCTGAAGTACAAGGGCTCCATCTCAGCTCACTGCAACCTCCGCCTCTCAGGTTCAAGCGATTCTCATGCCTCGGCCTCCTGAGTAGCTGGAATTACAGGTGTACGCCACCACGCCCAGGTAATTTTTGTATTTTTAGTAGACACAGGGTTTCACCATGTTGGCCAGGCTGGTTTTGAACCCCTGACCTCAAGTGATCCGCCCACCTCAGCCTCCCAAAGTACTGGGATTACAGGCATGGGTCACTGCACCCGGCCATGGATTACTTTTCTAAATGCAAGAAACAATGGAAAACGATCACTCAGTCAGCAAATATTAAGAAATTCCCTGAACAAACCAGTATTTTTCTATCCTGGAAATTTTCTTCTCATGCGCAGAGACCCACATAATACAAGAAACAGATCCAAGTGCCACCAGCCTGGACGTGATCACAGGCCACTTTGCTGTCCGCCTCCTGCCCTGGACTGGAGCATAGCAAGGGCAGGACCCTGGGTGTTGGTGTACTCTCCATCCCCAGCATGCAGCCCAGGACCCAGCACAGAGCAGGAATGTAAGGAAGGGAGGGCCAGGTTCTGAGAGAGGAAGAAATGCTCTGCGACATCTTACCTTTGTGATCAGGTCAGAGTGCCTGATGATGGCGCGGATGAAGAACCTATGGTCCGTCACTTCCACACCTTCCTTCACCTTGGCAGCACCCAGGTAAAGGTGCATCTTGTGGTTGGCACAGGGCACGGCGGTCAGATCGAAGTTACGCATCCGGTTAAGTTCCAGCTGGAAGGCCAGGGCAGGTTCCAAGTGACGGTAAATGCGATCTTCTGCAAACTGTAGGCGGACCAGAGAGAGAAGACAGACACATACACACACAGCGTGACGTTGGAGCTGCGTCCCTGCTTGGTCCACACCCTACTCTGCAGACCCCTGGTGTCCATGGGTTTGGCACTCAGGAATGCAGCATTCATGATGTTCCCTAATTGTAAGCTACCCCCAGGGCTCCAGATATTTGGGGTTTTGCTAAGATCTGAGGAGAGCTATGGGCATTGCAAGCCTGTTGTGCTGGGTGCAGCGCTGGCTCCTGGGGGAACCTAGCTAGTCCCTATCACCTGCCAGCGTGACCAGGCTGTTCTCCATCTGTCACAGCCTGTGGCAATTCTCATGAAGCCACTAACCCCTGGTTTCTTGGTGGAAATTGGTCCCCGAAAAGAAAGCAACTGACAGTACTGGAAACTAAACTGAAAAAAAAAATGAAGACATTAAGAAAAGGATGTGTCTTAGCTAGAAAAATAAAGCTTTGGATAAATTAAAATGCAAAATGCTGAATTTGGTGGGGTCTTGAATCAGTGCTGG
Organism: Homo sapiens; assembly: GCF_000001405.40. Classification (NCBI taxonomy): domain Eukaryota; kingdom Metazoa; phylum Chordata; class Mammalia; order Primates; family Hominidae; genus Homo; species Homo sapiens. The sequence goes on along the minus strand of NC_000012.12, from coordinate 109,236,642 downwards.
GAATAAACCTACCTGTTCTACAACAGGGATCGGTAAACGTTTTCTTAAATGGCCAGAGAGTAAATGTTTTAGGCTGATGGATCATACGGGCTCTGTCACAACTACTCAATTCTGCTACTGTTAGAGTGAAAGCCAGAGTAGACAATGTGGAATCCAACGGGTGTGGCTGTGTTCCAATAAAACTTTATTCGTAAAAACAGGCAGCTGGTCTGCAAGTGAGTTTGCCAACCACTGTTCTAGACGAGCATAAGAAAAACAGTTTGGAAAAAATGTCTTACTGAGTACATCAGCAAGTACTGAAAATTATTCAAGCAAGACAGAAACCTGTAGTGAGGCTGAAAGGGCAAGATTCTCAGGTCTGAGTGCCATGCAGGGAACAGAGGGCTCTCAATGGAAATACAATCCCAGAGGAAGACTGCAGTCTACACAAAAGTTGCTACATTCTTGAATATGGGGATGCCTTAAGGACTGCAGACTATATTCTTCATGAATATCAAAGATGCCAGGGAGCTGGGAGGCACGGTGGCATGTGCCTATAGTCCCAGCTATTCGGGAGGCTGAAGCAAGAGAATCGCTTGAGCCATAAGTTCGAGTCCAGCCTGGGCAACATAGTGAGACCCCATCTCTTTTTTTTCCTTTTTTTTGAGACAGAGTCTCACTCTGTCACCCAGGCTAGAGTGCAGTGGAATCACCTTGGCTCACTGAAACCTCTATTTCCCAGGTTCAAGCAATCCTCCCACCTCAGCCTCCCAAGTAGCTGGGACCACAGGCTTGCATCACAATGCCAGGCTGATTTTTTAATTTTTTTGTAGAGACAGGGTCTCACTATATAACCCAGGCTGGTCTAGAACTCCTGAGCTCAAGCAAACCTCCTGCCTCAGCCTCCCAAAGTGCTAGGATTACGGGCTTGAGCCACCACACCCGGCCCCATCCCATCTCTTAAAAAATAAAACAAGATGCTAGAGAAGAGAAAACATCATTACTTTTGGCCATACCTCATCTCTTGCTCTGAATGTGAAAAACTTGGGAAATTCTTTCTGCAAAAAGAAATCCACACACAAGACAATTAAATCAAGCAAGACGCACTGAAATATGTACATCCTTATTTAGTGATTGTAAACGATTACATTCACTTCTAGAATGAATCATTTGGAAATCCTTCTCCTTTCTAATGATCTCTTTCACCCAAATCTACAAAATAAATATCAAATAAATGGCACACACCAAGGCTTGGAGAATGGGAAAGACTCATAGAGATGAACTGTGAACTAACCTCTTGGGCAATCAAGAATGTGATTCGTCGGAGTCCATAATCCACAAGGATATTTTTCTGCATTAAAAACCAAAGACACAATGGAATATTATTTGGCCGTAAAAGGAACTGAAGTATTGCTGCATGTTACCACACGGATGAACCTGTAAACATTATGCTAAGTGGAAGATGTCAATCATAAGAGACCTCCTGTGATCTGATTCCATTTATATGAAACGTCCAGAATAGGCAAATCTATATAGAGAGAAAGTAGATTAGTGGTTGCCTAGGGCTGTGGTGGGGAGAGGGTTTTTGGGTTGGGGACAGAGGGGAGTGACTGCTAACAGGTACAGGGTTTTTCTATGGAGTGATGAGAATGTCCTAAAATTGATTCTGGTGATGGTTGTACAACCTGGTGAATATACTAAAAATATATTAAATTGTACACTTTTTTTCTTATTTCTTCTAAAAAAAAAAACAGGATACATGTGCAGAACGTGCAGGCTTGTTACACAGGTATATATGTGCCATGGTGGTTTGCTGCACCTACCGACCTGTCCTCTAAGTTCCCTCCCCTCGGCCCCCACCCCCCGACAGGCCCCGGTGTGCGTTGTTACCCTCCCTCTGCCCATGTGTTCTCAATGTTCAGCTCCCACTTATGAGTGAGCACATGCGGTGTTTGGTTTTCTGTTCTTGTGTTAGTTTGCTGAGGATGATGGCTTCCAGCTTCATCCATGTCCCCGCAAAGGACATGATCTCATTCTTTTTTATGGCTGCAAAACTGCACACTTTAAATGGGTGAATTGTGTAGTATGTCAATGATGTCTCAATAAAGCTGTTATTAAAAAGATAATTAAAAAATATCACATTGTATACTGTAAATATATATAATTTTTTTTGAGACAGGGTCTCGCTCTGTCCCCCAGGCTGAAATACAATGGCATCACAGGCTTACAGAGCAACCTGCTGTTATTGGCACACTTGGTCATCAATGTAAGTAGCCATTTTAAAACTGCCAGTTTCTGGATTATTCCAACAAAAACACTCCCAGAAAATCTCCAAACTATTTATTGGGTGTGCCCTCCGTACCTGGGACTGGCTAAGCCGTGTATATACTTTGTCATTGAATCATTGCAACACCGTGAGCGAGAGAAATGCTGACCCCACGTTCAGCCACATCTGCCCAAGGTCGCCAGCTATGAGGCGAGCAGAGCTAGAGTGGGAAGCCAGGTCTGTGGCTCTGAAGTACTCAGCACGCCTGCCTCCCCAAGGGCCGCCTCGACGAGCCCAGCCCCTCCTCCTTCTCCAAGAACCCCCACCAAAACCAGAGGCACGCCCAGAGTACCTTGGACTGTACGAATGTCCGTAAAATCGGCACCAGTGCCTCATCCTCCAGGTGGTCTGCACACTGGATGGACACATTCAGAATGTGGATGGGCTCTTCTCTGAGGCTCTGAGAGGGAGAAGCAAGGGGTAGGGCTGGAAAGCCTGGGGGCCACGGCCCACCTGCTCCCCAGGTTGCTCCCTGGGCTTAGACGCTTACCTTGCAGTCATCCTCGGAGTATAGGGAGGTGCGGGCCTCGCTGAAGAGGGGGGTGTCTTTGGGCACGTTGGCGAAGCAAGAGATGACTTCATCAAAATTTCTGGGGGTGCGGGTAGAGAGGGAGGGCTGAGGGGCTGCTGACCCATGGGGATGAGGTCAAGCTTCCAAGCCAGGCAGCAGGGAACGCCAGACCCTCCCAATTTCCCAGCCAACACCCTTTGATCTTATCCAACTCTACAGAGCTCAGGAGGTTCCCTGTCTACTTTGTCCAGAGCACCCGTGATGGGGTCCTTCCCAAAAGGGAAGAATGAACCTAAGTGATCTGTGATCAGGAATACAGGGAAGGATTCCAGCGCTTTCAGGCATCAGCTGGGCTTGAGATCAACTCTTGGCTCCCATTTTTACTGGCTGGGAGATCCTAGAAACCTCACCTCACCCCGAGTCAAAGAAAGGTAATAAGAGTAATCCCTATGCCTCATGAGGCTGTTGTGAAAATTCCACAAGATACTCCAAGCACAAAGCAGAACACACAGTGAAAGGCTGAAAAAAGACTATAACAGTAACTATTGAGAGCTAACATTTAGTCACTATATTATCTGCATACTAATTATACTTTAAATATGTTATTTCACATATGTTATCTCATTTAATTCTCATGGCGCACCTATGAAGTGAGTCCTTTATTATTCCCATTTTACAGATAAGAAAACGAAGGTATGGAGAGGTAAAAATATTTTGCTCAGTCTCTTAGTTAGAAAGCACATAGCCAGAATTCAAACCAGGCAAGCTGACACGCAGGCTCACACTCTTGGCTACGATGCTCTTATTATTCTGTTGTTATTGATGTGCTGTGCCAGGCAAGCTGACATGTAGGCTCATACTCTTGGCTACAATGCTATTATTATTCTGTTGTTATTGACATGCTGTGCCACGTGTCTGGGTCTCTCCCACCCCATCTGTCCAGTGAATTGGGGGGGGATTCAAGGGAAGTCTGCCCAGCCCCCATGCTCAGGGTGTTGGAGACCGGGCCATGCTGGGTACCTGGTGAAGTCCTCGAATCTCCTGAAGGCTACCATGGCTCCCATGCGCTGGCACAGTGGGGAGAAGCCGCTGTCCATGAAGAGCTCTGTGCTGTGCCTCAGCAGGTCAGGGTTGGTGATGCTGATGGGCACGGTCATCCTGTAAGGTGATGGCAAGTCGGGGATGAGGCAGCTGCTTGCAGACCCAACTCTACGAGCTGCTCCTACTCCTGAAGCTTCAGTGAGCTGGACCAGATTTAGAGCTCTTCCAAATGGGGGCTTAAAATGGGCAGGGGATGAGACAATGGCTGGGGCCGGGGCCTGAGGAGGGTCTCATCTGATCCCTCAGGACCTGGTGAAGAGTAAGAGCTCAACAAGTGTAGGAATCAATGATTCATGCATGAGAGTCCAGTCTCAACACAGTCCCGAGGGGAGCCCCAAGTGCTGAACTTGACCACAGAGAAGAAACACTCCCAGCATCAATTTCTCCTGGAGAAATCCACCAGCCCCAGGCAGCTGGTGAGGCAGTCAGGCTTGGTCCTGACGGACACTCCAGTCCTCTGCTCCCTGTAATCCCTCCATCAAACTTGCCCTTGGGACAAAGTCAGCAGCCTTCTGGAGTTTAGACAACGATGCTCCCAGAACTGGCTGCTCACCAGCAGCAAATCTCAATGGGCCACCTGAGGTTGTTAGAATTGGGCCTTGGAATCAGATACGGGAGGGGTAATGAAATGGTGTGCAGGAAGTCAGCACAGCAGGCCCCACACTGCTCTTCTGAGAAAGGAGACCTGCTTGCTTGCAAGGACAGCCCTTGGCTGGCCTCTGGGAACTTGGACTTGGGGAAGGTTCCTATCGTTCCCTGAAGGTGACAAGGGGGGCTCACTGTGCCTCAACTGTTTGCACAAACAGTGTGGTTTATGCTGAACACCTGCTTTCTTCTGCAAGCCTGAGATTTCGATGCAGAGCAGAGGGTGATGTGACCAGCCACCAATCCCTGGTGCGGGGCTGGAAGACAACCCTTCACTTGTGTTGTCACAACTCCTTGCTGGGGGAATGAAGTGCACCCTGCGTGAATCCACTGGGAGAGGACCCTGGCAGCACACCTGCTTTCCTCTGGACTTCACCCTGATGCCTTCTGCCTTGGCTAACTGCTTTGTATCCTTGCCCCCTAATAAGTCAGAGCTATAAGCATGACTATGTCCCGAGACCTGTGAGTTCTCCTAGGCGATGATCGAACCTGGGGGTGCTTTTGGGGACCCTGACACAGGTGTGTGCATTCCTGTTGGGTGCTCTGAAATCACGATCATGGCCCCTCTGCTCCCCGACAGCTCAATCCAGGGGTCACAAACTTGCAGTGGCAGTGTGGCTGAATGCCACTCACAGAATGACTTTGGTCCATGCAGCATTTTAATAACATACATGAATTAACATGTGTTCATGTATTCATTTAACATGAATTACCTGTCCCCATTGAAAAATGGAAGGACTTCAGGTTAAAAAAAAATAGATTTCCTGCTTCTGCTGGAAAAAATCATGGAGAAGTCTGGTTGTGATGGTCAGTTTCCTGCAGGGCAACAGTGGGCAGAGCTAGGACAGCAGCCCCATCGCAGGGGGATGTAGCCAGTTCCCACCCAGCACAGAGGTCCAGGTCCAGGCTGCAGCTGGCACAAAGCCCTGCCAACTTCTCATCTGACCTTCCCTTGGGTCTCGGTGACCTAAAGCACCATGTGCCTGGCTCTACACACACAAGTGTTGAGGGCCAAGCCAGGCCATCTTGGGGATAGACTTTATTCCTCATGGCCCTTTACAGAGGCATTAAAGGGCTGGTTGGTGGGGGCAGCCGCAGGCAAGGTCTCTTCACAGGCCCAGAGTACATTTCTGGCACTGAGAGCAATCATGAGAATCTTAGATGGCCAGGAATCCCCCAGGGTCCTCAATGTCTCTCTGGGTCAAAAAAGGACCCTGTGCCCATACTGAAAATCACAACCAATAACCTGGATATACGTGTAGCTCACAAGGCATGACCCACAGCCCTCAGGAGAGCCGCCCTTCCCTTCCTAACAGGGCTGACTTGCTGGGACAATAAGATCAAAAGAGAAGGCCAGGCACAGGGGCTCGCGCCTATAATATCAGCACTTTGGGAGGCCGAGGCAGGAGGATCACTTGAACCCAGGAGTTCAAGACCAACCTGGGCCACATAGTGAGACCCCCATCTCTGCAAAAAAATATTTTTAAAGAATTAGCCAGGTGTGGTGGCGCAAGCCTGTGGTCCCAGCTACACAGGGAGCTGAGGTGGGAGGATCACATGAGCCCAGGAGTTCAAGGCTGTAGTGAGCTATGATCACACCACTGCACTCTAGCCTGGGTGACAGAACTAGACTCTGTCTCTAAACAACCAAACAAAAAAATCAAAAGAGTCCTTCTCAGGAGTAGACAGCTACAAAATATCTTACACCACCACTGCTCTCCAAATCCCCAGAATGACCCCAGGCTGCAAGCAGTCAGTCCCCTTTCTCTCAATGGGGTAAAATGTCACAATCCTATTTTTGGAAATAAGAAGGGTAAAAACAAATAACTAGGAAAGGCAGTGCCTCGTGGGGAAGCCCCCTTTTCTTCATCCAAAACATAGCAGCATCTTTCTTCTTAAAACCAACAGGAAAAGAAAGTTATTTTAAAAATCCTAAGAGGCCAGAAAAATCCCCGCTTCACCAAAGCATGAACCCTATTGCCTGTACAGATCTGATCAACCGAACTCCCAAATCACAATGACATCAATGCCGCCGTAGGTAAGGCCTTGGGCACCCCCATAAGAACTAAAACCAGAGGGGTGAGGGAGCGTGAGAGAGAACACTTCGAATCCCAAGGAGACATAATTACTTTAAGAGAAGGTATCCCACTCTACCTGACCTAAATGGTATTAATACTTTGGGTCCTGAAACAAGATGGACTGAAAAAAAGACTGTGAGTGAGGAACTCAGACACATCAGATATTTTTAGGTGAGCCAGGCATGGTGGCGCCTGTCATCCCATCACTTTGGGAGGCTGAGGTGGACAGATCATTTGAGGTTAGGAGTTCCAGACCAACCTGGTCAATGCAGTGAAACCCCATCTCTACTAAAATTACAAAAAAAAGTAGTGGGGCTTGGTGGTGCATGACTGTGGTCCCAGCTACTCAGGAGGCTGAGGCAGGAGAATCGCTTGAACCCAGGAGGCGGAGGCTGCAGTGAGCTGAGATCGCGCCGTTGCACTCCAGCCTGGGTGACAGAGTGAGACTCCATCTCAAAAAAATCAAAAAAAGATATTCTCAGGTGAGAACACTGAGGGTATCTACTGAACTACAGCTCTTGGACAGCAGACTACAGTGGACACAGACAGGACAGGTGCCCTCACACCTGGCTCAGAGGGCCCCTGAATGCTGTGGAAAGGACTTGGAGGTGAGAGTGTGGCCTGGGCTCAAATTCCCACTCCACGTGCACAAGCAGCTCAGCCTAGGTCAGGTGAGGGCCCAGGGCTCCCATCTGTAAAACGAGGATGAGAACACATTTTTGGCCGATAGAGGATAAGAGCTGAATAAAATAAGAGTGTGGGCTGGGCACGGTGGCTCACGCCTGTAATCCCAGCACTTTGGGAGGCCAAGGCGGGTGGATCATCTGAGGTCAGGCATTCAAGATCAGCCTGGCTGACATGATGAAACCCCATCTCTACTAAAAATATAAAAATTAGCCGAGCATGGTGGTGTGCGCCTGTAGTCCCAGCTACTCGGGAGGCTGAGGCAGGAGAATCGCTTGAATCTGGGAGCTGAGATTGTGCCACTGGCACTCCAGCCTGGGCAACAGAGCGAGACTCCATCTCAAAAAAAATAAATAAATAAAAGAGTGTGGGAGCACTGAGCAGAGTGCCCAGGCCAATGGCATGCCACTAGATGGTAATAACAGCGTTAGTCATGATCATCTCCGGGATCACTTACAGTCAACAACTTCCTTTGTGCCAGGCACTGTCTAAAATGCTACATGTGCCTTATCTCATGACTCTTCCCAATGGCTTGGGTGGCATTGTCTACTAGAACTTTCTACCATGACAGAATGTTCTAGAACTCCACTGTCAAATAATATGGCAGCCATGAGCCACCCAGTATGACTGAGAAGCTGAATTTTTTTTTTTTTTTTTTTTGAGACAGAGTTTCGCTCTGTCACCCAGGCTGGAGTGCAGTGGCACAATCTTGGCTCACTGCAACCTCTGCCTCCCAGGTTTAAGAGATTCTCATCCCTCAGCCTCCCGAGTAACCTGGGATTACAGGGGTGTGCCACCACGCCTGGCAAATTTTTATATTTTTAGTAGAGATGGGGTTTCACCAAGTTGGCCGGGCTGGTGTCAAACTCCAGGCCTCAAGTTCCTGATCTGCCCCCTTCAGCCCTCCGAAGTGCTAGGATTACAGGTGTGGGCCACCATGGCTGGCTCATTTGCATTCTTTGTTTTTTCTCTTTTTTTTTTTTGAGATGGACTCTTGCTCTGTCACCCAGGCTGGCGTGTAGTGGTGCAATCTCAGCTCACTGCAACCTCTGCCTCCCGGGTTCGAGCAGTTCTCCCTCAGCCTCCCGGGTACCTGGGATTACCAGTGCACACCACCATGCCAGGCTAATTTTTGTATTTTTTTTAGTAGAGATAGGGTTTCACCATGTTGGCCAGGCTGGTCTCGAACCCCTGACCTTGTGATCCACCCACCTCAGCCTCCCAAAGTGCTGAGATTACAGGTGTGAGCCACTACTGTGTTTGGCCTCTTTTTTTTTTTTTTTTTGAGACGGAGTCTCGCTTCTTCGCCCAGGCTGGAGTGCAGTGGGGCAATCTCAGCTCACTGACTCACTCTGCCTCCCGGGTTCAAGTGATCCTCCTGCCTCAGCCTCCCCAGTAGCTGGGATTACAGGCATGTGCCACCACGCCCGGCTAATTTTTGTATTTTTAGTAGAGATGGGGTTTCACCATGTTGGCCAGGCTGGTCTGGAACTCCTGACCTCAAGTGATCTGCCCGCCTCGGCCCCCCAAAGTGCTGGGATTACAGGCATGAGCCACCGCGCCTGGCCCATGTGCATTCATTTTAATGTAAATAGGCACACATGGCTACTGTACTGAACAGTGCAGGTGTAGGAGGTGGGCTCTGCATTATCACCATGTTAGAGGGGAGAAAATGGCGCTGCAGGGAGCTCCCACAGGGGAAGTGCTTATCGCTGATGTCTCCCCAGCAGCGTGCCCAAACACACTTGCCAGGTCCTTCCAGAGACAGGACGACAGAGGTCAGGAAGAACAGAAACACAGGCCGTCCCTGGGTGTGTCCCACTCCATACCGGTTTGGGTGGGAGGACGGCAGCATGAACTGGAATTCTACCACGCAGGTGCCGTCCGGGAGCTGCCGGTGCTGCAGGCTGTTTAACTCATAGGCGATGTAGCCCCTCCGCACGTAAACCTGACAAGGCAGAAACACACGGACATTCTCTCAGGGGCCACTGCAGAGTGTGCTCAAAAGCTGAGGGCACTCACGGGGAACAGGTACCAGAAATGACCTCTAAAATATCTATCTGTAAGCAGGCCGGGTGCAGTGGCTCAGGCCTGCAATCCAGCATTTTGGAAGGCCAGGGCAGGTAGGTCACTCGAACCCAGGAGTTCGAGACCAGTCTGGGCAACATGGCAAATCCCCATGTCTACTAAAAATACAAAAACTAGCCAGGCATGGTGGCAGGCGCCTGTAGTCCCAGCTACTCGGGAGGCTGAGGTGGGAGGATTGCTTGAGCACAGGATGTTGAGGCTGCAATGAGCTATGATAGCACCACTGCACTTCAGCCTGGGCAACAGAGAAAAATCCTTCCTCAATTAAAAAAAAAAAAAGATTTCTAAGCAGCAGTTAAGAGCAAATTTGCTCATATTTCAGAGTGTTACTAGTTACACAAAATCCACTCTAAACTCTAGAGCAGGGGTTGATAAACTTCTGTAAGAGATAGGTAGTAAATATTTTAGGCTTTGTGGGACATATCATCTTGGCTGCAACTACTCAATTCTGCTGTTAGCACGGACGTAGCTGTGGACAACATGTAAATGAATGGGTGTGGCTGCATTCTTCTTTTTTTTTTTTTTTTTTTTGAGATGGAGTTTTGTTCTTGTTGCCCAGGCTGGAGTGCAATGGCATGATCTCAGCTCACCACAACCTCCTCCTCCCAGGTTCAAGCGATTCTCCTGCCTCAGCCTCCTGAGTAGCTGGGATTACAGGCATGCACCACCATGCCTGGCTAATTTTGTATTTTTAGTAGAGACGGGGTTTCTCCATGTTGGTCAGTCTGGTCTCAAACTCCCGACCTCAGGTGATCCGCCCGCCTTGGCCTCCCAAAGTGCTGGGATTACAGGCATGAGCCACCGTACCTGGCCGCGTTCTGATAAAACTTTACAGAAACAGGTGGTGGGCCAAATATGGTCCATGGTCTATAGTTTATCAAACCCTGCTTTAGAGCAGTGCTGTCCAACAGAAATATAACACAAGCTGTGTATGTAACTTTATTTTATTTATTTACTTTTGAGACAGGGTCTCACTCCATCACCCAGGCTGGAGTACAGTGGTGAGATCATAACCCACTGCAGCCTTGAACTCCTGAGCTCAAAGGATCCTCCCACTTCAGCCTCCCAAGTAGCTGGGACTACAGGCACCACCACACCTGGCTAATTTTTTTTGTTTTTTATATTTAGTAAAGAAAGGATCTTCCTATGTTGCCCAGGCTGGTCTGCAACTCCTGAGTTCAGTGATTCTCCCACCTCAGCCTCCTAAAGAGCTGGGATTACAGGCATGAGCCACCTCACCTGGCCTATAATTTTAAATTTTCTAGTAACCACTTAGAAAAAAGATAAAAAATAATTTTAATAATATATTTTATTTCACCCCACATATGCAAATATTATCATTTCAACATGTAATCAATATAAGAAATTATTGAGATGGTTTACATTCTTTTCTCCATACAGTACTACATCTTTGGAATGGAGTGTGTATTTTCCACTTAGAGCACAGCTCGATTTAGACTGGATGCAGTTCAAGTGCTCACTAACCACACGTGGCTGGTGGCTGCCATAGTGGACAATGCAGTTCTGGAGTTTAAACACTGGAAGCTTTTCAACTGAACAGGAAATGCGGGAACTGGGCAGCAGGAGCTAATACAGCAATTAGCAGACATAATTGCTTTCCATTAAAAGACTTGCCCTTGGCCAGCACTGGGGAACTTGAATTTGGGGAAGGTTCCCACCATTCCCTGTCAAGAATGGGGTCAGGCATGGTGGCACACGCCTGTAATCCCAGCACTCTGGGGAGCCAAGGCAGGTGGATCGCGTGAGCCCAGGAATTCCAGGCCAGCCTGGATGACATGGCAAAACCCCATCTCTACTAAATATACAAAAATTAGCTGGGCGTGGTGGAAAAACAAAACAAATAAAAAAACCCAAAAGCATCCTAGAAAAATCTCTAATTGACACAAACAGCATTTAGCACTTTAAAAAGTAACTGTAAGTCAAGCATGGTGGCATGCACCTGTAGTCCAAGCTACTGGGGAGGGTGAGGCAGGAGGATCGCTTGAGCGTAGCAGTTCAAGTCCAGCCTGGTCAACACGGCAAGACCTGTCTCTAACAAAACAAAAATTGTGTTTAAAGTAACTACAGAAGAGGTGTATTAGGTCTCCCTGTTAGAAACAAAGAGTGAGGCCTGAGAAAGATTCTTCCAGAGGTGAAACCCATAGAGGAATAAAAGTTGCAGGCCCAGGAGACCCTGTGGCTGTAATATGCTAACAAGCCCAAGATGGTCTCCAGAAGACCCAGTAAACCTTCTCACTGTGTGACTCACAGGCTCCCAAGGATGCAGAAGAGAAAGTGGGGGCAACAGGGGACTGAGACTCTGAGCTCAGAAGATAAAGAATATTGGAAAAACTACTGCCAGCAAAGCAGACCCGGGTAAGAGGGCCGTGTTAAAAACATATTTTCTTAAAAAGATTCTAAAAGGGCAGCAGATTTATTGGGAGGCTGAGGCAGGCAGATCACTTGAGGTCAGGAGTTCCAGACCAGCCTGGCCAACATGGTGAAACCCTGTCTCTACTAACAATACAAAAATTAGCCAGGTGTGGTGGTGGGCGCCTGTAGGCCCAGCTACTGGGGAGGCTGAGGAAGGAGAATCATTTGAACCCAGGAGGCAGAGGCTGCAGTGAGCCGAGATAGTGCCACTGCACTCCACCCTAGGCACAAGCGAGTCTCAAAATAATAATAATAATAATAATAAAAGAGCAGATTTAAAACTCTGATTTCCTGGAACCAACACAACACTTCTTGGTTCCTGAATTCAAGAAGACCTGAATTCTTGCTCCCGGGAGCAAGACCACCTGGGATCACCTGGCTCTAATCTGGGTTTTGCTACTGGCCACGCCCTTCTACCTCATCACTCGGGGGGCAGGGGGTCACCTTAAGTTGTCACCTGGGCTCCTCTAGCTCTGGCAGTTCCAAGCAGAAAAGTCTTTCAAAGGTATTTAATGCACGTGAGTCAGAAAGTTTAGATGAGGTGCCTCAGACTTGGCTCTCAGGGATTAGTATTTAATGTGCCCTGCCTGGAAGAGGCTGGAATGACATGAGACAGCAGTGGTAACTAGCATGGAATCTGGAATGAGGCAGACCCAATAATGCAAAACCTGGTTCTGCCACTTTCTAGCTGTGTGACGTTGCATAAGTCACTTGACCTCTCTGAGCCTCAGTTCCTTCCTCTGTAAGATGGGACTATTAACATAGCTACCTTGAAGAGAAAAGGATAGGATCACATTCACCAAGGCATGTGGCCTAGGGTCAGGTGCATGGTAGCGGCAGTGAACACTAGAACTGGCATGGTCAGTGCTGTTCTCTGGGCCTCTCCTGCTTACCTCCAAGGACGCCATGCACACGACTTTGTTTGCGTGATAGAAGAAAGTAGGCAGGACGTCGAAGATGGTTGTTTCCGAAAGTATTAATTTCTAAGGGAAATGAAAAGGGGAAACAAGGAAAAGTAAATGTGAACAAGTTTCAGGTTTTTCTTTGTTTTTATTTGAGATAAACTGGAGTGCAGTGGTGTGATCATAGCTCACCGCAGCCTCAAACTCCCAGGCTGAAGCGATCTCCCCACCTCAACCTCTTGAGCAGCTGGGACTACAGCGTGCGCCAACATCGTGGCTCTTTTTTTTGTGTGTCTATTTTTTGTAGAGACAGGGTCTCACATGTTGCCCAGGCTGGCCTCAAATTCCTGGGCTTAAGTGATCCTCCAGTCTTGGCCTCCCGAGTGCTGGGATTACAGGCATGAGCCACCGTGCCCAGCCAGTGAGTAAGTTTTTTAATCACCAGTCTGATGAGTGGGGGCGGTGGGAGCAGGCAGAAGTCATGCTTTGACCACTAAAAGCGATCAGTGCCCTGCAGCGCGCTGGGCTCCTCCCCTATTTAATCATAGGAGAGCTGGTGAAGAACTCCGGGATGACGGCACCTGGGACAGGTCTCCCATCAGGCACTGAGGGGGTACCTGAGAACATGTAAATGAGCCAGAGTCCAGGAATAGGGAAGATGAGGCCGCGACTCAGCCACAGGAGGGCTCACAGCTTCCAGATATGCTCCATATGGCTGAGGTTTGTAAACTGCACCAGGTGAGCCCCCACTGCTGTCACACTGTCCTTCCTGGAGGACTGGGCTCCATGCCCACCTCTCCTAGAGTCTCCCCAGGTGACCCCTCGGGCAGCCCTGGCCACATTGGGCTGAACTGTCTGCATCTGTGGCTGTGCCCTGCACCCCACTGAGCACCTGGAGGGCAGGAGGAGCCGTTTCCCCAGAGGCCCCCACCTGGGCCACAGTGTGTGCTCTGCAGATGGTGAAAGGAAGGAGACGGGCTCACCTTGAGGTTCTCGGGGCAGAACTGGTGGCCGTACATGTCAATGGCAGACAGGAAAATGGACTCCACCTGGTTATGCCGCAGCTCGTAGGAGGGGAGGTGGGAGGCAATCAGGATCTGCAGGGGGAGGGATGGGGGCGCTGGCGTGAGCCAACCTCCCAGGGCAGAAGGCAGAGGCTCGGGCACGGGCCGGCAGCACGGTGGGACTGTGCATGGTGAGGGCTGAGCACGGTAGGGGACACATAGGAGGGTGGGGGGAAACGCACATCGTGGGGACCGCACCCTGAGACCCTACCTGCCGGGCTCTGAGGGCCACTTTGCAGTGCTCGCTTTTGCTCAGCTGAGTGAGCTCGTTGAGGATGGAGATCAGCTCGTCCGACAGGGAAGGGTCTGGGCCACACAGCTCATCCTTAGGGGACAGAAAAAGAAGCCAAATGGCTTTTCTCCAGCCCAGGGAAACATGCAGCACTCATCTCGACTTGGGGAGCACCTGCCGCAAAAGCCAGGCGGCTGCTCCACTCTCCAAACAGGCCCAGCACAGCCTGTTATGCAAACCCTCACCACTTTCTACTGTGCACCCACCCCAGTCAGTCATTCATTCACTCACTCACTCACTCACTCGGCCACCCATTCATCCACCCCACAACATGCCCTAAATGCCTGGTAAGAACAAACAAATACAACTAAGTCCCTGCCTACGTTACTATTAATAGCCAGTGATTAGGCCAGGCATGGTGGCTCACACCTATAATCCCAGCACTTTGGGTGGCTGAGGCAGGAGGATCGCTTGAGCTCAGGAGTTTGAGACCAGCCTGGGCAACAGCGCAAAACCTTGTCTCTACAAAAAAAAAAATAGAAAAATTAGCCGGGCATGGTGGCACATGCCTGTAGTCCCAGCTACTCAGAAGGCTGAGGTGGGAGGATGATTTGATCATCCCTTGGGAGGTGGAGGTTGCAGTGAGCTGAGATCGCACCACTGTACTCCAGCCTGGGCAACAGAGCCAGACTCTGTCTCCCCCCCAAAAAAAAAAAAAAAGGTCAGTGATTATCAGGCACATACTATGTGCCAGGTGGCTAGTAAACAGCTAGACCCTTTATATACAACTCCCCAAATTCTCCCACCCCCACGAAGAGTTACTTATTTTGATTCCCATTTTACAGATAGGAACACTGAGGCTCAAAGAGGCAATATGCCTCACCCCAAAGCCAGCAAACATGTGCAAGACAGAGCCAGATTCGAACACAGCACTATTCTGCCCCCAAAGCCTCCCGCTCCTTCCCCTACACATTGCTGCCTGACTTAAGGCGCTCACGGTTTCAGAGGAGAGGGACGTGGGGTTGAATCTTGCAGGAGAGGGAGGGACAATGTGTCTGTGTTGCATCCCTCCTCTCTGCTTCTGAAAGAAGGGCCTTTCTGCTGGAGACCAGGCCTGGGTGCAGCCGGTGTTCGCATCTCCTCTTATGCCCTAAGTGCATATGGGGCTTGGGAACAGCTCAGCGCAGGTGCTCCCTAACCACCCACTGAAGATGGAGCAATGAATGCTAAATATCAGAGCTCCTGAGCAATATGCCCCCATTCCCCACCCCGGGCATCCACTAAGACTGGTCTTCAAGAGGTCACCAGATGGTAGAGCTGTGGGGCATTTTTTTCTACATGTGTTTCTGCATTTTCCTATTATAATGAACCGAGACTGATTTTATCATCAGAAAAAACTTCAACATATTGATATTTCATACACAAAGACACAGGAACATCAATGCTGAAGAAATGTGGTAGGAAAGTGTTCTAAATCTCCTCTCCCTTCTCTGATTTGCTTTCTATTATTAAACGGTGGTGGCATAACTCCCCACCAATCCCCTAGGCATGTGGCTCCCAGGCCAGACAGCACAGGTGCTGGCCAGCAGCTAGACTGGTGCTTTTCTAAGAGGTGAAAAACTCAAGAGTTTGTGTGAACATTTTTTAAATTTCCCCCCACACATCTAAGTGTGAATGTTAAAAAATCTAACCATTGCCTTCTACATACAAAAGATAATAATAATAATAACAAAAACATTTTTCTAGGCAGGGCATGGTGGCTCAGGCCTGTAATCCCTGCACTTTGGGAGGCCAAGGCGGACAAATCATCTGAGGCCAAGAGTTCAAGACCAGCCTGGCCAACATGGCAAAACCCTGTTTCCTACTAAAACTACAAAAAAATTAGTCAGGTGTGGTGGTACGTGCCTGTAGTCCCAGCTACTCGGGAGGCTGAGGCAGGAGAATCACTTGAACCCAGGAGGCAGAGGTTGTAGTGAGCCGAGATTGCGCCACTGCACTCCAACCTGGGTGACAGAGCAAGACTCTGTCTCGAAAACAAACAAACAACAACAACAACAACAACAACACCATTTTTCTTTCTTGTTAACTTTGTGAAGCAGTCTCATCTTGTATATTTTAGTTCTCAGAATCATGTTTTGTTTGCTTCGTTTTGTCACTAACGAAGTCCCATGACCAGTGAACTGGTGTCAGAAACTAGGTCCCTTTAAAAGCCTCAAAAAAATTCATTTCGAAATAATCATTCAATTCACAAGTCTTTGTTCAAAACCTCTCAGGTACCAAATACCATCAGGTGCAGAGAACTCACTATTTTCTAACAAATGGGACCAAGAAAGTCAGAAGAATAATGAATCTCACATTTATCCCGAGACTGTAATTGGTTCAACATTTTTAGCCTCTATCACCAAGGAGGTCCAGGAAAATGTCCCAATTCCCAAGAACTGGGGGCTGCTCCACCCATCTTCCCTTGGCTGTCCTCTGGTGTACATGATATTTCATGACTTCATGCCCAGAAGAGAGTCAATATGTGCACAGAAGAACGAACAGCAAAATAACCCACAGACCCACTGCCTTTGAATGGCAAGCTGACTGTAATAGATTACAGGCATATTTTGCTTGACAAACACTCAAACTCCAGGAAACTCCATCCAAAGAATGTATTTTGAAAAACATTATATTATTTTAGTAATAGAACTCCCCCCAAAGAGTGGATATCTCCTTGGGCATAAATTCCCAGTCCTGGCTGCGTGTTGCAATCACTTGGAGAGTCCTCTCTCCCAATTAATTTTTACAAACTTCAAAACTACAGAAGAATTGAAGATCAGTATGTTAAAAACCCATAGTAATCACCTAGATTCACTAATTGTTAAAACTTTTGCCACATTATCATATTTGATTTTTCTCTAATAAGAACGTACGTGCGCATACACATACACACTCTCTCTTTTTCTGAAAGTCAGTTGCAGACACCACAATCCTTTACACTATTTTCGCACATATCTCCCTTCCACCTACTACAGAACCATTAAAACACCAAAGAAACTGAACATTAAACCAATAATATTATCTAATATACAGTGCACATTTAGGTTTCCCACAGGGAAACTTTCAAAAAGCACTAATGCCTGGGCCCTACCCCTAGAAACTCTGATTAAATTGACCAAGGGTGGGGCATGGGCAATTGTATTTTTTAAGTCTCCCCACCCCCTAGGTGATTCTAATGTACAGCCAGGATTAAAAGCTGCTGCGTGAGATTTTTAAATGATTCTTTACCAAAAATCCCAATATTTATTAATGCAACTTGGACAGGGGACAGGGTATTAACTATTCTCTGAGATCGTGGCCAAACTCTGCCTACTGACTGTTTTTGTAAATAAAGTTTTATTGGAACATAGCCACCCTCATTCATGTACCTATTGTCTAGTTTTCAGGCTACAGTGGCAGAGCTCACAGAGCTGAGTAGTGGCAATAGGGGGTGGACGTCCTCAAGCCTAAAATCTTTACTATCTGGAGCCCTTTACAAAAAAAAGTTGCCAGGCCGGGCGTGGTGGCTCATGTCTATAATCCCAGCACTTTGGGAGGCCGAGGCTGGTGGATCACCTGAGGTCAGGAATTCAAGACCAGCCTGGCTAACATGGTGAAACCACGTCTCTACTAAAAACACAAAAATTAGCCGGGCGTGGTGGCGCATGCCTGTAATCCCAGCTAAACGAGGCTGAGACAGGAGAATTGCTTGAACCCTGGAGGTGGAGGTTGCAGTGAACAGAGATCGTGCCACTGCACTCCAGCCTGGGGGATAGAGTGAGACTCTGCCTCAAAAAAAAAAAAAAAGATAGATAGAAGATAGATAGAACCCGGGAGGCGGAGGTTGCAGTGAGCCAAGATTATGCCATTGCACCCCAGCCTGGGCGACAGAGCAAGACTCCATCTCAAAAAAAAAAAAAAAAAAATTGCCAAACCCCTTTCTACTATAAGCCAAGTCCAAGTTGCTCTTACTCTGCTGATCCTACATTTTCCAAGTCAGTTGCAAGGGACATATCAAAGAAAAATATTTTTAGTTATAAAAGACTGCTATTATCGGCCAGGCGCAGTGGCTTATGCCTGTAATCCCAGCACTTTGGGAGGCCAAGGCAGGAGGATTGCTTGAGCGCGGGAGTTCGAGACAAGACTGGGAAACATAGTGAGACCTCATCTCTACAAAACAAACAAACAAACAAACAAACAAACAAACAAACTAGCTGGGCGTGGTGGTGTGAGTCTGTAATCCCAGCTACTTGGGAGGCTGAGGTGGGAGGATGGCTTAAGCCCAGGGGATAGAGGCTACAGTGAGCCATGATGGCACCACTGCACTCCAGCCTGGGCAACAGAGCGAGACCCTGTCTCAAAAGAAAAAACAGACAAAAAACAAAAGACTGCTATCATCGAGTGGAAAGAGAAACAAGAACAGAGACTCCATATTTCTTCTTCTCCACACACAGGACTCAAAATCCAATATCCTGCGGCTAATAGTTCATGAGTCTGGAGTCAGACTATTGGTTCAAATCCTGGCTCTACATTTAGGAGCTGGGTGCCCTTGGGCAAGTGGCTTAACCTCTCTGTGCTCTGCCAAAGAGCTGTGACAGCAGTACCCACTTTCTAGGACTGCTGCGTGAATTAAATGAGCAACTATTTATTTGGAAAGCACTTCAGGAGTACCTGGCACAAACTAGGTGCTTTGCATTAGTCATGATCTTCCCAGTGCCAACAAACCCGACTCATTGCCTGTTTTTGTATACAAAGTTGGGATTTTTTTTGTTGTTTTTTGAGACAGGATCTCATTCTGTCACCCAGGCTGGAGTGTAGTGGTGTGATCACAGCTTACTGCAGCCTCAACATCCCAGGCTCAAGCAATCCTCCTGCCTCAGCCCCCTGAGTAGCTGGGACTACAGGTGCACACCACCACACCTGGCTAATTTTTGTACTTTTTGTAGAGATGGGGGTCTCCCTATGTTGCCCAGGCTCGTCTCAAACTCCTGGCCTCGAGTGATTCTCCTGCCTCAGCCACCCAAAGTGCTGGGATTACAGATGTGAGCCACAGTGCCCAGTTTTAATTTTTTTTCTAAGAAATGGAGTCTTGCAATGTTGCCTAGGCTGGACTTGAACTCCTAGGCTCAAGTGATCCTCCCACCTCGGGCTCCCAACAAAGTTTTATGGGAACACAGCCATGCCCATTCCCTTACATTGTACAAAGGCAGTGTTGAGTGGTCACGACAGAGACCACACCAACCTGCAAAGTCTAAAAAATTTACTTGCTGGCTTACTTTTTCTTTTATTTATTTTTTGAGACAGAATCTCACCCTGTTGCCCAGGCTGGAGTGCAATGGCACAATCTCGGCTCACTGCAACCTCTGCCTTCAGGGTTCAAGCGATCCTTCTGCTTCAGCCTCCCAAGTAGCTGGGATTACAGGTATGCACCACCATGGCCAGCTAATTTTTGTATTTTTAGTGGAGACGAGGTTTCACTATGTTAGCCAGGCTGGTCTCAAACTCCTAACCTCAAGTGATCTGCCCGCCTCAGCCTCCCAAAGTGATGGGATTACAGGCATGAGCCACCGCACCCAGCCACTTTCTGGCCCTTTTAAGAAAACGTTTGTGGACTCCTGACCCACCCCCAGTCTAGTAACAGGCCCTCTTCCTGCTTACGATCAACATGATCACCAGCTGGTTCTTCTTGGCCACCTGTGCGTGGGAGAAGATGCAGTCCAGCACCTGGGACATGTCTGGCTTGAACTGCTCCCTGAGGTTTATCACACACTTGTCGTAGTGGGCTGGGGGAGACAAAACACCACACAGAGGTAAAGCTCAGGCTCCTCACGCCCCCCACCATCCCACTGGTGTTGGCATCAGCATCTCTTGCCTTGCTGAAAATGGTGCTCAACACGCAAGTATCTTCTCAGGAGATCCAACACCACTGTTTTCATATAGCCGCGGATCCCGCTGCGGTATCTGGGGAGAAGGGAAGGCTGCTCTTAATGCTCACACCCTTCCTTGAGTACCTGAATATTTAGTATTTTTTTTTATGATTTTTAAAAAGAGAAAGGATTGGCTGGGCATGGTGGCTCATGCCTGTAATCCCAGCACTTTGGGAGGCCGAGGCAGGCAGATCACGAGGTCAAGAGATCGAGACCAGCCTGGCCAAAATGGTGAAACCCTGTCTCTACTAAAAATACAAAAACTAGCTGGGCATGGTGGCACGCGCCGGTAGTCCCAGCTACTCAGGAGGCTGAGGCATGAGAATAGCTTGAATCCGGGAAGAGGAGGTTGCAGTGAGCCGAGATCGCACCACTGCACTCCAGCCTGGGCGACAGAGCAAGACTCCGTCTCAAAAAAAAAAAAAAAAAAAAGAGAGAGAGAGAAAGGATTTTAGAAAGGACACTGAGGTGGGAGGATCACTGGAGCCCAGGAGTTCAAGCCTGGGCAATATAGCCAAGACCCCATATCTACAAAACAAAACAAAAAAATTAAGGCCAGGCATGGTGGCTCACACCAATAATCCCAGCACTTTGGGAGGCTGAGGCGTGAGTATCATTTGAGCTCAGAAGTTCAAGAGCAGCCTGGGCAACAAGGTGAGACCTTGTCTTTACAAAAAAATCAAAAAAATTAGCCGGGAGTGGTAGCGCATGACTGTGGTCCTAGCTACATAGGAGGCTGAGGTGATAGGATCGCTTGAGCCCAGGAGGTCAAGGCTGTTGTGAGCTATGATTGCACTGCTGCACTCCAGCCTGGGTGACAGCTTGTCTCAAAATAAATAAATAAAAATTAATTAATTAGTTAATTTAAAAATACATTTTTTTTTTTGAAACAGAGTCTCGCTCAGTCGGCCAGGCTGGAGTGCGGTGGCACGATTCTCGGCTCACTGCAAGCTCCACCTCCCGGGTTCACGCCATTCTCCTGCCTCAGCCTCCCGAGTAGCTGGGACTACAGGCGCCTGCCACCCACGCTCGGCTAATTTTTTTGTATTTTTAGTAGAGACGGGGTTTCACCGTGTTAGCCAGGATGGTCTCGATCTCCTGACCTCATGATCCGGCTGTCTTGGCCTCCCAAAGTGCTGGGATTACAGGCATGAGCCACCGCGCCCAGCCAAAAATTTTTTTAAAGTATCTAGAGGCACCCTCTAATCCTGAGGCCTTCAAAGGATATGGAGTTGATTCATCTGCAGGCCAAAAAGAACACTGCCCTGCCCAAAGTCCCACATCAAACTGGAGGCAAAACTGGAGTAGGTAGATCCCAAGCCTTATACTTGGGAGGGCGCCTTTCTGGCCACAGAGTTAAGAAAAAAAAAAAACTTCATAGATTTCGGATACTGAACAGGGGTAGCCAATTTTAGCAAGCTTTAACTGTTAAAAACAAAATTTTTCAATTACTTACCCAAGGTATAGAGACCATTTTAAAAAGACAAACTGGAAAAACATTTACCAAAAGATCCCCATGTAAATTTTGCTTCTCCCTTTTTTTTTTTCTTTTTTTTGAGACGAGGTTTTGTTCTGCCACCCAGGCTGGAGTGCAGTGGTGCAATCACAGCTCACTGTAATCTCTGCCTCCCGGGCTCAAGCAATCCTCTCACCTCAGCCTCTGGAGTAGCTGGGACCACAGGTGGCCACCACCAAGCCTGGCTAATTTTTGTATATTTTGTAGACAGGGTTTCACCATATTGCCCAGGCTGGTCTCGAACCTCTGAGCTCAAGCAATCCATCCGCCTTGGCCTCCCAAAGTGCTGGGATTATAGGTGTGAGCCATCGCACCTAGCCGCTTCTTTTAAAACAAAGTTTTAACCTGGATGTTCTTCCAAAAATCTGAACACAGGAGTCAAGTTTCTCAGGAGATGCGCCACTGAGTTGTGGGGAAGTAGACGCTTCATGGCAGCATCACCAAATCACAACAAAACAGACCAAGATGCTAAAAGACTCTGATACAAATGTGATTTTAAAACATACTTACACAATACAGGACAGGGCTTTAATATTTATGGTCAGCACAGAAAACTTGCTAGAAAATTCAGTTAATTTATTAATGGTTCATTTTTCCTAGATGTTTCTCTGAAGCTTAAAGGATGGGCTTAAGGTTAGCAGTCTATGTGTTTTAGGAGGACTCCCTTCCTAGCCCTTGGCTGTGAAACTTGCAGTTTGTGGGGAATCCACACTAAAATCTCTCTCCCTAACAGCTGAGGAGCTCCTTGAAAAGGAGGCCAGTTTTCTACAATCTCACATTCTTTGTACCTGTGAGTTTCTGGCACATGGGAAACATGCCTGGAATTTACTGGTTCAAATCCAAGAATGCTTTGATTCCTTTTTTCTTTTTCATAAAAGACAAGGTCTTGCTCTGTCCCCAGGCTGGAGTGCAATGGCGCGATCACAGCTCACTATAACCTCGAACTCCTGGGCTCAAGCAGTCCTCTCACCTCAGCCTCCTGAGTAGCTGGGCCTATAGGTACACACCACCATCCCCGACTCATTTTTTTTTTCTTTTTTTTTTGTAGAGACAGGGTCTCGCTACATCACCCAGGCTGGTCTCCAACTCCTGGCCTCAAGTGATCCTCTTGCCTTGGCCTCCCAAAATTCTGGGATTACAGGCATAAGCCACAGCGCCTGGCCCTGATTGTCTTCATAAGGAAAGCCTTCTTGCTAGGTGGATTTTTCATGAAAAGTGGCAGAAAATCCTTTTGTCAGCCGGGTGCAGTGGCTCACACCTGTAATCCCAGCACTTTGGGAGGCCGAGGCAGGGGGATCACGAGGTCAGGAGATTGAGACCATCCTGGCTAACATGATGAAACTCCATCTCTGCTAAAAACACACAAAAAAATTAGCCGGGCGTGGTGTTGGGCGCCCGTAGTTCCAGCTACTCGGGAGGCTGAGGCAGCAGAAGAATGGCGTGAACCCGGGAGGCGGAGCTTGCAGTGAGCCAAGATCGAACCATTACACTCCAGCCTGGCCGACAGAGCGAAACTCCATCTCAAAAAAACAAAGAAAATCCTTTTGTCATCAGAATAGTCCTGCAGCGGGAAACCCCTGTACAATAAATAACTACTTGAGATGAAATACAATTATTCATCCACTTTCCTTTGCAATTGTCCCAAAAGCCACAATAACAATTTTTGCAGTGTTTTATCATACATAAAGCTATTTCATCCCATTGTCTCAATCTAATGTATCTATCAAGTATTTACTATTTGTCAGCACTTCACAAAACTTAATACATTTATAGGCCAGACATGGTGGCTCAGGCCTGTAATCCCAGCACTTTGGGAGGTCGAGGAGAATGGATCACTTGAGGTCAGGAGTTCGAGACCAGCCTGGCCAACATGGTGAAACACCGTCTCTACTAAAAGTACAAGAATTAGCCAGGCATGGTGGCACATGCCCGTAATCCCAGCTATTCGGGAGGCTGAGGCAGGAGAATTGCTTGAACCTGGGAGGCGGAGGTTGCAGTGAGCTGAGATTTACAAACAGAGATTTACAGAAGTAAAGTACCTCACCCAGGGTTCTGCTGTTAGTAATGGCACTGCAGGACTATAACACACTTTCTCTCAGTTCAAGCCTGCCCTGAAGACAGCCCCAGAGCACCACCCTGGTGCAATGCATGCGACGATTCAGGTGACAACCACATCCTACGGGGAGACCCAGGATTCACCTCTGGACCAACTGCACGATGCTCTGGGTGTTGATGAAGAAGACCTCTCGATCAGCCTTCCGCTGCAGGGTGGCTGCATGGCAGTCCAGGATGGTGGCTATCTGGATGGGAAAACAAGACAGGTCTGACTGCTGATGATTCAGATGACACACAGCAGTCCCCTAAAGAAAGGGTCCCCAAACCAGTACCCAAACGAGCACTGGTCCGTGGCCTGTTAGGAACTGGCTGAACAGTGGGAGGTAAGCAGTGGGTGAGGGAGCGAAGCTTCATCTGTATTTACAGCCCCTCCCCATTGCTCACATTACCATCTGAGCTCCACCTCCTGTCAGATCAGCGGGAGCATTAGATTCTCACAGGAGCGCAAACCCTGCTGTGAACCGTGCATGCGAGGGACCTAGGTTGCATGCTCGTTACGATAATCTAAGGCCTGATGATCTGTCGCTGTCTCCCATCACCCCCAGATGGGACCTTCTAGGTGCAGGAAAACAAGCCTGGGGCTCTCACAGATTCTACATTATGGTGAGTTGTATAATTATTTCATTATATATTACAATGTAATCATAATAGAAATAAAGTGCACCATAAATGTAACGTGCTTGAATCATCCCGAAACCATCCCCCTCCCCGGTCCGTGGAAAAACTATCTTCCACAAAACCGGTCCCTGGTGCTAAAAAGGTTGGGAACTGCTGACCTAAAGGACCCACCACAGCCTCCCAGGGAGGTCCCATCCGAGACTCATTTGAAGATTGAAAATTCCAGGCCCAAAGCCTTCCAGCTACCCTGAAACACCCCTGTTCATCCCCTCAACGGTGAGGAATTCAAGCGCTCAAAATGCCAGCGATCACATGGAGGAGTGCACACATTCGCCTTATACCATTCCGCACATATCAATGGGATGGGGAACAAGGAGATGGGAATGTCCCACTCTAGCAAAAACCAGGGTGCTCATGGGGAAGGGTCCTGTCTTTATCATTACACATAATGTTATCGGTGTATTGCCTTTGGCATCAAAAATATTTTTAAAGAAAAAAAAACCTGGATCAATGACAAATTCCTGAAAGTTCCAAGTGTGTACTTTTTCAGTTAGGATCCTCTAGAGTTTGGCTTTTGTTATTTTTTAGTTCAGATATAACTTACACACCATCATATTCCACCATCTCCCTTTAAAGTGTACATTCAGTGGTTGGTAGTGTATTCATAAAGTTGTGCAACTATCACCACCATCTAATTTTAAAGCATTTTCGTCACTCTAAAAAGAAACCTTGTAGTCATTAGCGCTCACTCTCCATTTTCCCTGCACTGCAGCCCCTGGCGGCCACTAATCTACTTCCTTCTTCATGAACGTGCCTATTCTGGACATTTCATAAAATTGGAATCACACAGGGCTGGGCACCATGGCTCATGCCTGTAATCCCAGCACTCTGGGAGGCCGAGGCAGGCAGATCACCTGAGGTCAGGAGTTCAAGACCAGCCTGGCCAACATGGTGAAAACCCATCTTCACTAAAAAAATACAAAAAAATAGCTGGGAATGGTGGTGTACACCTGTAATCCCAACTATTCGGGAGGTCTCAAAAAAAAAAAAAAAAAAAAAAGAGGAATCACATAATATGTGGTCTTTTGTGCCTGGCTTATTTCCCTTAGCACAATAGGTTCATCCACGTGGGAGCATGAATCAGTATTCTTTCTTTCTTTGGCTGAACAACATTCCAACCCATAGAACTCCTAACCTCCGAGAATGGCCTGAACTACACTGTCCTCTGGTTTCCCAAATCACCAATTTGTGGGTGGGTGGATGATGATGGTGGGGAACCCTCCCACCAGAGGGCAGGAAGGCAAACAGGCAGAGGGGCTCTTCCCAGTGCAAATGCCTTTCAAATGCCCCACAAAACCAACAACCACAACAAAATGAACAACGCGAGGCCGATGTGTAAATAACAGAGATATTTCTTACTTCCCTGGAATGGCTTCCATTCTTTTTTTTTTTTTAACATGTTCACAAATGCAACTATGATTATGATAAGACATCTCAGTACATTCTTTTTTTTTTTTCTGGAGCACAGTGGTGCGATCTCGGCTCACTGCAACCTCCACCTCCTGGGTTCAAGCAATTCTCCTGCCTCAGCCTCCTGAGTAGTTGGGATTGCAGGTGTGCAACACCACGCCCAGCTAATTTTTTTTTTTTAGTATAGATGGGGTTTCACCATGTTGACCAGGCTGGTCTCGAACTCCTGACCTCAAGTGATCCACCTGCCCTGGCCTCCCAACGTGCTGGGATTACAGGCGTGAGCCAATGCACCCGACCTCAGTATAATTCTTAAAAAATATTATATATATACATATATATGTTTATATGTATATACACACATACATGTATATATGTATATATACATGCACGTATATATACACATATACACATGTATGTGCGTATATACACATACATGTATATATACACATATACACATGTATGTGCGTATATATACATATATACACATGTATGTGCGTGTATATACATATATACACATGTGTGTGCGTGTATATACATATATACACATGTGTGTGCGTGTATATACATATATACACAGATATGTGTGTGCGTGTATATACATATATACACAGATATGTGTGTGTATATATACATATACACACAGATATGTGTGTGTATATGTACATATACACACATGTGTGTATATATACATATATACATATACACACATGTGTGTATATATACATATATACATATACACACGTGTGTATATATACATATATACATATACACACGTGTGTATATATACATATATACACACATACATGTACGTGTATATATACATATACACACACATGTGTGTATATATACATATATACACATATATACACACGTGTGTGTATATATACACATATACACATATATACACACGTGTGTATATATACACATATACACATATATACACACACGTGTGTGTATGTGTGTATACACATATATACACACACGTGTGTGTATGTGTGTATACACATATATACACACGTGTGTGTATGTGTGTATATACATATATACACACGTGTGTGTATGTGTGTATATACATATATACACACGTGTGTGTATGTGTATATATATGCATATATATGTGTGTGTATATATATATACACACAGATACACACACACACACACATACATGGAGCTCCCAGATGATCACCTACAAAATCCAGGGGCAGAAAATCAAAGCTGCAAACCAGTGAAAAAACAAAAATAAAAAAACTTGCAGTTTCCTCTAATGATGTCAGCCAGTTTATTTTTTGGGAAATGCTCACTCCATCTGCAACAACTGCTCACTCCTATTCAGAATCTTGGGTTTTAGGCAATGAGGCCTAAGGAATACTGATGTTCATTCAAACAACTGTTGCTTTGAGTAAATGATAGGATTCTGCAGACAAGGCTCAAAAGGAAACCCTCGGCCCCTGATATGTTAGGCTATAAGTGGGTCTCAAGGAGTTCAACTTGATCAGAGGCCAGATATCGAGCCAGACCGGGAGCCGGCCCAGTGTGACCATCCTGGTGGGGTGGGGCTGGGCAGGGGAGCACGCACCTGCTGGCTGGGGAACTGGCACAGCACCGAGGTGATGTTGCTGGCATACTGGGCCATCACCCTGCGGACAGACTTCTCCACAGGGGCGGGGATGCGGCCTGCCACGCTGGTCATGATCTCCTGCAGCTCCAGCAGCGGCAGTGACGGGTGCCGGAGGGTCATCATGAGCTTCTGCACCCACTCCTTCAGCTGAAGCGGGGACCACAGCATCAGCCCCCAGCCCTGCATGGGCATGGGCACCACCGCCCCAAACAGGGCACCCAACACAGCTCAACCCATCCTGACCCCATGCACTCAAGTGGCTGAAGATCCAGACCCAGCAGCCTCTGGGGCAGTCCAGAGTGGAATGGCCCCCTGACCACAGGGGAATACTCAGTTTCCCTACATAGGAAGACCCTGACTCCCCCTCTCTGTGCATCAGAAAGCCAGCATGGTGTGGGGGATCAAACATAAGGTCACATGATGAGCTGATGTTTATAGGATACTTGCTTAGTGCCAGACAGTGTTCTAGGAACTTTCTTTTCATGTTATCATTTGATCCCTAAAAGCAACCATATAAAGGAAGTCTAATGATTTTGTCCATTTTGCAATTGAGGCAACTGAAACACAGAGAGGTTAGTTAAGTTAACCAAAGTCACTCAGCTAGTAAGAAGCAAACCCAGGCTATTCAGCTCCTGAGACTCTGAACTGCTGCCCTATGCTGTTTCCGGGGTGTCTCAGTAGCCAATGCTGATGGTCTTTGGATGACGATGATAGTGGGGCCAACATCCTAGTGTGGTTGTGAGGTTTCAAAGTGAACTGATGCATAAACTGCGAAGTGCCCCAACTAATAAAAGTTGCAATTATTGTGGGGTGCGGTGGCTGATGCCTGTAATCTGAACACTTTGGGAGGCCAAGGCGGGAGGATCACTTGAGCCCAGAAGTTCGAGACCAGCCTGGGCAACATGGCGAGACCCCGTCTCTACAAAAAATTAGCTGGGTGTGGTGGCAGGCACCTGTAACCCCAGCTACTTGGAAGGCTGAAGTGGGATGATTGCTTGAACCCAGAGGTCGAGGTTGTAGTGAGCAGTGTTTCCCCCACTGTACTCCAGCCTGGGAGACAGAGCAAGACCCTGTCTCCAAAAAAAAAAAAAAAATGTTGCAATGGTGGTAATAATCATCAGGCAGCATAACGTGGGGGCGAAGAGCACAGAGTCAGAATCCTGATGGCCATGGTTCAGATCTCATCTTTGCCTCCTCATGTATGAAGCACAGCAAGTCTCTTAGTCTCTGTGTCCCTCAGTTGCCTCAACTGTAAGTGGAAATAAGAGTTCCTACCTTATCGGTTGCTGGGAGGATGAAATGATTGAACTTTTAAGTAGTTAGAAGGTGACACAGCGGGCACGGTGGCTCACGCCTGTAATCCCAGTACTTTGGGAGGCCAAGGTGGGTGGATCACCTGAGGTCAGGAGTTCAAGACCAGCCTGGCCAACACGGTAGAACCCCGTCTCTACTAAAAAATACAAAAATTAGCTGGGTATGGTGGCACACGCCTGTAATCCCAGCTACTCGGGAGGCTGAGGCAGGAGAATCGCTTGAACCTGGGAGGCAGAGGTTACAGTGAGACAAGATCGTGCCACCACACTTTGGTGTGGGTGACAGAGCAAGGCTCCCTCTCAAAAACAAAGGGGGGTGACACATGGTACATACTTGCTAAGGGTTGGCGGTTATTATCGTCATCACCATCATGATTTGCTCTCCTGAGACGGACCCGGTACAGCACACAGTGTGATGCTTAGTCACTGCTATGAGCATCATGGGTCTTTCAAGGAGGTCTGCAAATCAGAGAACTTCTTGTTTCTCTACTGAGTGAGCAGATGAGACCCAGCAAGGGTGAATGACGAACAGAGGTGTGTTTCAAACAAAGTGCCTTGTCTGTCATCTCCTTAAGCAGGGTGACCCCCACTGACTCCTTCCTTAATGTCCTACTGGAGTATTCTCAGTCTTGAGCTGAACTGCTACAAGCCCAGTTTACGATCAAGGAGAAAAAGTCAGGCCAATGTTTACAATTGAATTGAGGAATTCCCTGAGGACAGGTCCTTCATAAACACAACCGAGGGGCTGGGTGCGGTGGCTCAGGCCTGTAATCCCAGCACTTTGGGAGGCCCAGGCGGATGGATCACTTGAGCCCAAGAGTTCAAGACCAGCGTGGGGAACATGGCAAAATGCCATCTCTACAAAAATACAAAAAATTAGCCGGGCGTGGTGGGGTGCACCTATAGTCCCAGCTACGTGGGAGGCTGAGGTGGTAGGATCTCTTGAGCCCAGGAGGTCGAGGCTGCAGTGAGTCTGGGTGACAGAGTGAGACCTTGTCTGAAAAAATAAAATAAATAAAATAAAAACAACAGAGGACCGACCATTTTCTCATTTCTTACTCAATAATGACCTCTGCTGTCACGGGGTAGATCTTCTGACCCTCCGCACTGGTCTACACGCCTGCGCTCATAGGTGACTTTACCTTTATGCTAAAAACGGGCTCTGGCAGACAAAAGCCACTCATGACGTTGGTGAGGTTTTCCAGGACGCTGTGGAAGACCTGGTGCAGTTTCTCTCCGAGGATGGGCAGTGTCTGCTGGGCAGGGAGTTCTCCTGTGAACGGTTCAGCCTGATGAGACACCACAAGAACGACAGGTCAGGAAAACTCTGGGAATTCCAAATGGGACCGGGCAGAACGGGAGGCAGGACAGATCTGCCGGCTTCCGTAATCAAGTGAGGATGAGGTCTGAGGAAAAAATCAAAGACAATGAACTGGAAAGTTAAAACGGCCAAACTCACACCCCAATGTGGGTTTTCCAAACCATTCCTTTTGCAAATGGCCCAGTACACAGTTTCACACCCCAGACAGTTTTGTGGGGTGGCGGTGAGATCTGTTTTTTTTTTTTTTTTGAGACACTCGCATTGTCCCCAGGCTGGACTGCAGTGGCATGACCTCGGCTCACTGCAACCTCTGCCTCCCGGGTTCAAGCAATTCTCCTGCCTCAGTCTCCCGAGTAGCTGGGACTACAGGCGCAGGCCACCACGCCCAGCTAATTTTTGTATTTTTAGTATAGACAGGTTTTCACCATGTTGGCCAGGATGGTCTTGATCTCTTGACCTCATGATCTGCCCGCCTTGGCCTCCCAAAGTGCTGGGATTACAGGGGTGAGCCACTGCGCCCGGCCGATCTGTTTGTTGTTGTTGTTGTTTTGCTTTATAATCAACAAATCTCATGTTCTGTATTTATTTTCATTCTCTATTGAATCCCAAAGTTAAACACCTCACAGTAGGATGAAAATTTATGAACATCTCATACAAATGCATCTGATTTTTGTAAATCATAAAAATTCAGTCTTAGGTAAACACATGGAAAAATAAAAAGCTCCCTAGAGGGCAACACAGACTAAATGTGCTCATTCGTCTACTCATTCATTCTACAAATACCTACTGTGCATGACGCACAGTGCTGGGGTGCTGTTCTCCCAGCAGAGAACACTCCGTTTCCTGCCCACCCTCTACCCCTCCACCCACACCCATCCCCACCCCTAGCCCTGCAGGCTTTTCTCCCCTTTTAAGAGATGACTTGGCCGGGCACGGTGGCTCATGACCATAATCCCAGCACTTTGGGAGTCCGAGGTGGGAGGATGAACTGAGGTCAAGAGTTCGAGACCAGCCTGGCCAACATGGTGAAACCCCATCTCTACTAAAAATACACACAAAAATTAGCCAGTCATGGTGGCGCGTGCCTGTAATCCGAGCTACTCCAGAGGCTGAGGCAGGAGAATCAGTTGAACCTGGGAGGCAGAGGTTGCAGTGAGCCAAGATTGTGCCATTGCACTCCAGCCTGGGTAATGGAGTGAAATTCTGTCTCAAAAAAAAAAAAAGCTGACTTGAGGGTTTTCCCCTACACAATCTGATCATAGCTTCTCCATGTGGGTCCCCACAGCCCAGGGCCAAGGGCGGTCTTCTAACTACACTCACCAAGTGAAGTTACTCGATCTCCCAGTCTGTCTCACAAGCATTTATGTGAGGCTGCAGGGAATGGGTGGGCAGGCCCTGCCTCATTAACCCAGCACAGGAAATGTGTGCTGAAAGGAATCACAGTGCAGGTACCCAGACCTGCCCACTGATCCAAAAAGGCCCAGTCTATTCCTAGCTTTGGGAACTCCCTAAAGAGACTAGTGATGCCAGGCACAGTGGCTCACCCTTGTAATCCCAGCATTTTGGGAGGCCAAGGTGGACGGATCGCTTGAGGCCAGGAGGTCAAGATCAGCCTGGCCAACCTAGTGAAACCCCATCACTACTAAAAATACAAAAATTAGTCAGGCATGGTCGCACAAACCTGTGGTCCCAGGTACTTGCTACCCGGGAGTCTGAGGCAGGAGAATTGCTTGAACCCAGGAAGTGGAGGTTGCAGTGAGCTGAGATTGTGCCACTGCACACCAGCCTGGGTGACAGAGTGAGACTCTGTCTCAAAAAAAGAGAGAAAGAGACTAATGAAAAGAATTGTAACAACAGTCATGTGCAGCAACATGGATGGAACTGGAGGATATTACATTAAGTGAAATAAGCTGGGCAGAAAGACAAATTTAGCATGTTCTCACTCATATGTGGGAGCTGAAAATTAAAACAAATAAACTCATGGAAATAGAATGTAGAGTGATGGCTGCCAGGGTCTGGGAAGGGTAGTGGGGCTGGTGGGAGTGGGGATGGTTAACGGGTACAAAAATCCAGTTAGATAGAATGAATAAGATCTAGTATTGAGGCTGGACATGGTGGCTCACACCTGTAATCCCAGCACTTTGGGAGGCTGAGGTGGGCGGATCACCTGAGGTCAGGAGTTCGAGATCAGCCTGGCCAACATGGTGAAACCCCATCTCTACTAAAAATACAAAAATTAGCTGGGCATAGTGGCAGGTGCCTTAAGTCCCAGCTACTCAGGAGGCTGAGGCACGAGAA
Organism: Homo sapiens; assembly: GCF_000001405.40. Lineage (NCBI taxonomy): Eukaryota > Metazoa > Chordata > Mammalia > Primates > Hominidae > Homo > Homo sapiens. Next base: position 109,204,379 of record NC_000012.12, on the reverse strand, counting down.
TTGCTTGAACCCTGGAGGTAGAGGTTGCAGTGAGCTGAGATCACGCCACTGCACTCCAGCCTGGGCGACAAGAGCAAAACTCCATCTCAAAAAAAAAAAAAAAAAAAAGATATAGTATTGATAGCACAACAGGGTGACTCTACAGTCAATTAAAATCGACTGTACATTTTAAACTAACCAAAAGAGTAGAACTGGAATGTTCCTAGCGCAAAGAAATGAAAAATGCTTGAGGTAATAGATACCCCAATCACCCTGATTTGATTATTAGACGGTATGCCTATACCAAAAGATCACATGTACCCCCATAAACATGTACACCTATTATGTACCCATAATAATTATAATTTTTTTAAAAAAGAAAACAAATACAATTAATAGAATACTCTGGAGAAAAGAGACCATGTGATATTTTTAAATTTTTTTTTTACTGGACAGATGTACTAATTATTTTAGAGTCTTGCTTAGGAGGGTGTAAACATTCATTCATTCATCAAGACTTGTTATTTCTGAGCACCCACTATGCTCCGAGCACTGTGCTAAGCCCCAGGATCACAACAGTGGACATCGAAAGTAGTCCTTGACCTCAGGGACTCATCGGTAATGACACAGCTTGACAAATTAAGAGGAATCTAAATTGGAGGTGCCCCCAAGAGCCTGAGCTCAGGGTCACATGACAGACACTCTGGTGCACCCCCTGGTGGTCCTGAGGACAGGGGGACGCCCCCGGCACCTGCCTGCTACACGTTCATCCAACAACCAATATTTACAGAGCACCTCTGATGTACTAGGCCCTGTTTTTGGCACTGGGGCCCCAGCAGCGAGCAAGAAAGCCAAAAGGCCCTGTTCTCACGGTGTTTCCAGTCTCCTGGAGGCCAAATAATAAAGCAACAAGACAATCAGTGAGATCATCTTTGTGAGGTACGGTGTGTGTTTGCACGTGGGTGGAGGTGAGCACAATTTTTTAAAGGGCGGTTGAAAGAGACCTGACAACTATATGCAATGTGCTAACCTGGATGGGATCCTGGACAATAGGTAAAAACTAAGAAAATCGTACACTCATGTTCATAGCTGCCTTATTCACAGTAGCCAACAGGTAGAAACAATCCAAGTGTCCATCAGTGGATGGGTGGATAAACAAAATGTGATTCACCCCTACAAGGGAATATTATGCAGCCTTAAAAAACAGGGAAATTCTGCCACATGCTATCAGATGGATGAAACTTGGAGACGTTACGCTAAATGAAATAAGCTAGTCACAAAAGGCCAGATACTATATAGATTCCACCTATATGAGGCACCTAGAGGAGTTGAATTGATAGACAGAAAGCAGAACAATGGTTGCCAGGGGCTGGAGGGAGGAGGGACTCAGGAGTTACCATTTAACGAGTGTCAAGTTTCAGTTTTGCAAGTGCTGGAGATGGATGATGGTGATGGCTGTGCAACAATGTGAATGGATTTAATACTGCTCAAGAGAACATTTAAAAATGGCTAAGATGGTAAATTTTGTTATGTGTATTTAACCACAATTTTTAAAAAATGAACTAAAGAAATCTGAGTGAACAATAATGTACCAATATTGGTTCATTAAATGTGACAAATGGACCATATTATTGCAATAATAGTTAAATTTTAAAGTTAATTATTATTCTTAAACAATAATACCTAATATATCGATATTGGTTCATTAAATATGACAAATGGACCATGCTCGTGCAATAATAGTTAAATTAATAACAGTAAATTGATAACAATAGTAATTAATTGAGGCCAGGTGCAGTGGCTCACACCTGTAATCCCATCACTTTGGGAGGCTGAGGAGGGTGGATCACCTGAGGTCAGGAGTTCAAGACCAGCATGGCCAACATGGTGAAACCCTGTCTCTACTAAAAATACAAAAATTAGCTGGTATGGTGGTACACACCTATAATCCCCAGCTACTCAGGAGGCTGAGGCAGAAGAATCACTTGAACCAGGGAGGCAGAGGTTGCAGTGAGTCGAGATCACGCCACTGCACTCCAGCCTGGGCGACAGAGCGAGAGTCTGTCTCAAAAAAAAATGAATAATAATAATAATACTAACAATTAATTGAATGATAATTAAATGAATGACAGGGAAACTGGCCACAGAGAATATGGGAACTCTGCACTACTTACATAACTGTTCTGTACATCTAAAACTATACTAAAAATTAAGTCTATTAAAAAGAAAAGGTGGTCAATGGTCAAGAATGCCCTCATTGAGGGGAAGACATTGGAATCAAAGCTCCCAGGAGTTGAGAGTGATCCCTGCAAAGTCTGGGGTAGGTCCTTCACAGCAGAGAGGACAGCCGCCAGGAGGGAGGGGTCCAGTGTATTCAAGTAAGTGATGGGGAGAGGGACAGAGGAGAAAGGCAGAGAAGAAAGCAGGGAACAGCTAGCTCATTTGGGGTCTTGCAGGTCACTGGCAGAAATTGGGTTTTGCTCTAAGCAGGATGGAGAGCCACAGAGAGGGATCTGAGTAAAGCAGGGCGCGGCTTCCTTGTGTTTCTGCACCATCACGGTGGCTGCTGCGACGAGCTCTGTCTGCAGGTGGAGGCAGGAGAAGCGCTACCAGCCTTGAGTCCACCTGTCTCACTGAACCAGTGGAGGTCACGAGTGCACCTGCACCAGCCAGAGCACTTGGGCCGTGGAGCCACATACCGGGTGGACTTTAGAAGGGTCATCGAGCTCCAGCCTGGCCACCACGCAGCCTGCTTCCAGCACGGCACCTGGACGCTTGATGTACTTCACCCGGCCTCTTTCCTGAACGTTCAGGGTCATGATCATCTTCATCACCTATTTCGTAAAAAGAAGAAATAGTACAGAGCCCACCGGGATTGACACCCAGAGCCACCCAGAACTAGTGATGCCGGAGCAGGGACGCGCCGGGACACTACCCAGGGACGCGCCAGAATGACTCCCTGGGTAGTGTTCAGGCAGAAGGTACAAGGAAAAGTGACCTTTACTGGAAGCCTGCTAAGTGCCAGGCAAGTGCCATTCAATCTGCAAAGCCAGCCAAGGAGGTGTTTATGATGCCCATTTTACAGATATGGAAACTGATGTTTATTTCCAAAGGGGGAGTCTTCTCTTAGAAATACTGTTAAATCATATTACATAGAGTGGTTCATATACACGTTCCTAAAACGTACTGCATAAATCAAACATTTTGTGAACAGTTTGTTTTATTAAAGGCACTTAGAAAACCCTCAGGGAACACTCTGTGAAATGAAGAATCTGCTCATCAGCCCTTTTAATTTTCCCGAATGTCTGGATACGTGCGTGGCATGAGCTTTGTCACCATGGTGGCGGCCGCAGAGCCAGGACTGTGCTATCTCTCTTGCTTGGCAGTTCACAGCTTGGGCACCCAAGTCAGCCAGGCCTGGACTAGAATCCCAGGAACTGCCCCCACCAATACCTCTGTGATCTTCAGAAGTGGCTCCCCTCCTTGAGCCTCAGTTTCCCCAAGTGTAAAATGAGGAATAATGACAGTTTCACCTCTTAGGGCTCTTACGAGGATTGAATGAGATGCAGATCCTGCCATGCAGCAGGTCAATATGCAGTAGCTACTATTATTGATGTATTTTCATTGCTATTATTGTTGTTATTTTCCGGGTTTGAATCCTGGCTTTGTGTGACCTCCAGTGAGTTTCTTAGCCTGCCTGGGCCCAGCTTTTTTATAAAATGGGGATCACATTTGTGCCCATCTCATATATTTGCTGGGAAGGTTAAAAAATAAAGATCAGTAAAATGCTTAGAACAGCACCTGCCACATGGTTATGGCTTTGCAAGTGTTGGCTTAACACCTTTCAATTATTGCTGGGGTCAATATTTAATATTTAATCATTGATTGACAATAATTGTTATTATCAATCAATTCTTGGCTGTGTGCAGTGGCTCATGCCTGCAATCCCAGCACTTTCAGAGGCCAAAGCAGGTGGATCACCTGAGCTCAGGTATTTGACCAGCTTGAGCAGCATGACGAAACCCTGTCACTACCAAAAATACAAAAAATTAAGCCAGGCATGTTGGTGCGTGCCTGTAATCCCAACTACTTGGAAGGCTGAGGTGGGAGGATCACTTGAGCCTGGGAGGCGGAGTTTGCAGTGAGACAAGATCACGCCACTACACTCCAGCCCGGGTGACAGACTGAGACTTGTCTCAAAAAAAAAATAAAGAAATCAAGGAAACTGATTTACACAACAGTTTATAGAACAGTTATGTAAATAGTACAGAGAGTTTCCATATTCTCTGTACCCAGTTTCTCTGTCATTAACCTTCTTACTCATTCCTGGGGAGATGTGCATTTTTTGAAGTTTTTTTTTTTTTTTTTTGAGACGGAGTCTTTCTCTGTCGCTCAGGCTGGAGTGCAGTGGCGCCATCTCAGCTCACTGCAAGCTCCGCCTCCTGGGTTCACGCCATCCTCCTGCCTTCACGCCATCCTCCTGCCTCAGCCTCCTGCATAGCTGGGACTACAGGCGCCTGCCACCATGCCCGGCTAATTTTTTGTATTTTTAGTAGAGACGGGGTTTCACCATGTTAGCCAGGATGGTCTTGATCTCCTGACCTCGTGATCCGCCCGCCTCAGCCTCCCAAAGTGCTGGGATTACAGGCGTGAACCACCACGCCCAGCCTGAAGTTTTTTTCTTTGAATACTTCAGGGGATTTGGCTGAAATCCACAGACTGATTCCCTTAGAAATTTGCAGACAGTGGTCAAGGGGAGAGGTAGGCCTGTTTGTTCAGACATGGGACAAAGCCAGAAGAGTGGGAGTTTGAGGGTTCAGGATTCCCCACGGCCGGCTCTGCAGTCACCTCCATCTCAGCGTAGCTGCTCCCAGCCTCAACGTGGCCCCCATCCTCCACTGTGTACTGTGTCAGCTTCCCAGCCGAGGGGGATCTCAGGACTGTAGGATCGTTCTCCTTCTCAAACACACACGTCTTATTGCCGATGGTAATTCGGTAACTGGGAGAGAGGAGGAGTCGGGTAGGGAGACTGATGAGGACTACCAACTCAGCAAGCCCTAGTCCGGCTTTCAATACCATTTCCCCTTCCTAAAGGGGGAGTGTACCCTCTACATTCCCAAAGGGTGGCAGTTGATAGTTATCTCAGAGACACTGAGAGTGAGGTGGGTGAACAAAAAGGCTGTGATGCTTTCTTATTTTATTTTTTTTTTTGAGACGGAGTCTCGCTCTGTTGCCCAGGCTGGAGTGCAGTGGCGCGATCTCGGCTCACTGCAAGCTCCGCCTCCCGGGTTCACGCCATTCTCCTGCCTCAGCCTCCCGCATAGCTGGGACTACAGGCGCCCACCACCACATCCAGCTAATTTTTTTTTGTATTTTTAGTAAAGATGGGGTTTCACCATGTTAGCCAGGATGGTCTCGATCTCCTGACCTCATGATCCGCCCGCCTCAGCCTCCCAAAGTGCTGGGATTACAGACGTGAGCCACTGTGCCTGGCCAAGGCTGTGATGCTTTCTTTGGGAGGCCGAGGTGGGAGGATGGCTTGAGGCCAGGAGTTCAAGACAAGCTTGGGCAACACAGTGAGACCCTGCCTCTACAAAAAATAAAAAAAAAAAAATAGCTGGGCGTGGTAGCATATGCCAGTAGTCCCAGCTACTCAGGAGGCTGAGGCAGGAGAATCCTTTGAGCCCAGGAGTTTGAGGCTATTGTGAGCTATAATTACTCTGTCACCCAGGCTGGAGTGCAGTGGCACAATCATGGTTCACTGAAGCCTTGACCTCCCTGGGGTCAGGTGATCCTCCCATCACAACCCCCTAAATTGCTGGGACTACAGGCACACGCCACCACACTTGGCTAATCATTGTATTTTATAGAGATGGGGTTTTGCCATGTTGCCCAGACTGGTCTCAAACTTCTGGACTCAAGCGATCAGGGTCTCACTCTTGCCCAGGCTGGGCAACAGAGTAAGAACCAGTCTTTAAAATAAAATAAAATAATAAAAAGGATGTGACCCTTTTTTGGCTGAAAGCTGGTTCCTTTTACTGACATACTTCCAACAGGGCCTGACACAGAAAAATCAATCAGTGGATATGATTCAACAAATATTTACTGATTCAAAGTCTTAACCTTTGAACTGGGGAGAGTAGAACCTATAGTAATCCTGAACATTCTTGGCAGATAGAACGTGGGTTAAAAAAGAGATAACAGGCAGGGTGCAGTGGCTCATGACTGCAATCCCAGCACTTTGGGAGGCCAAGGCTGGCCAACTGCTTGAGTCCAGAAGTTCAAGACCAGCCTGAGCAACATGGCAAAACCCCGTCTCTACAAAAAATACAAAAATTAGCCAGGCGTGGTGGCACATGCCCGTAGTCCCAGCAACTTGGGGGACTGAGGTGGGGGGATCATCTCGGAGCCCAGGGAAGTTGAGGCTGCAGTGAGTCATGATGGTGCCACTGCACTCCTGCCTGGGTGACAGAGCGAGACCCTCTCTCAAAAAGAAAAAAAAGGAGATAACAAAATATTACTCTGGCATAAACCTAGTCTTCCTTCTTCCAAAACATTGAGGATTGAGAAGAGAGTCTCCACTCTCTAACTGGAGCTTTTCAGACATCCCCTCCCCTTTCATCACCTTGGCTGGGGTCTGTTTCATTGCGTGATCTCGGGGTGATCAGACACACTGGAGGCGGGGCATCTTTGGGGCCTATCTCACTATCTCACAAGCCCCTGTGCTAAGAGCTTCCAGGGCATCTTGTGTGTTACCCGTCAGGTACACGACACCCTTTCCTGCCACTATCTGTTTGTTCAGTGTGTCATCTTCCCGAATGGGCTGGAAGCTCCACGAGTCACACCCAGAATGCTATCCCAACACCCAGCACAGCGCCTGGTACGGAGGAGCTTAGTAGGTCACTGCCGCACTAACTGGGTGGATGCCAGAGCCCAGATGCACAGGCAGCAGGCACCTGGTCACACACCTCGCAGGCCACAGAGCTGGGAGTCATGTCCCGTTCAGCTCTGAATCCCCACCAACCAGGTTACTAGAAAAGGGCCTCCTAGGATCCTCCCCTAAATATCTGCCAGTTGCACAGAATTCCAACCAAGAGATTAACTTCTCTGCACACCCCCAGAATTTACCAGAAAGGCACCTTCTCTAAGACCCTTGGACCTGCACACAGGCCAGTGCTGTGTTTTCCATGCCTAGGACAGAGAGCTGTGCATGCCCAGCCCACAGTGGGACTCGCACCCCCACGCACCTGTCAACCTCTTCCTTCATGTAGGTGGTGTAGCTGTTCCCATTGTAGGAGAGCAGGAGCCCCCCATCATTCAGCCGGTGGGCATCAATCTCGATGTGGCAGCCATTCATGATGAGAACGAACATGGTCAGAGACTGCCGGGCCACCTGTGGGGACAAGCCCCTTGTCACCGCCTGGGTTCAGGATGTGCTCCCAGAGCACTGCTGGGCCCCGCTAACAACAAACAAGAGCTGGTTGTCCACCACAGAGGGCCAAGATGAACACCCCCGTCTCTCGGACCCAGCCCTCACAATTCCTGCCAAGGGAGCAGCTGCTGATGGGGCTGGGGGAGGCCTGGAGTAGCGAGCCACACCTGCCCTGTGGGTAGGCTAATGGCCGCTTATATAGTCCCTGTCAAGCCGTGTTGGCAACTGCATGTCCTCTGGGGCTAGAGACTCCCTTCTGATTCCTGTCTCCAGCTCTCACTCTGTGTGAGGCAGCCCTGGAGACTCCACCAGCAGCCAGGTGCAATGGACTAAACGTTTGTGTCCCCGCAAAATTCATAAGTTGAAATCCCAACCCCTAATGTGATGGCTTTAGGAGGTGGAGCCTTTGGGAGGTGATGAGATCATGAAGGTGGGGCCCTTGTAAAAGAGATTAGTGCCCTTATAAAAGATCCCCTGTAGAGCTCTGTGGCCCATTTCTGACATCTAAGGACATAGCGAAAGGACAGCATCTATGAAACGAAAGGTGGGTCCTCAGTAGATACCAAATCTGCCAGTATCTTGATATTGACCTTCCCAGCCTAGAGAATTGTGAGAAATTCAGTGTGTGGTTTAGAAGCCACTCAGTCTTTGGTATTTTACGACAGTAGCCCAAATGGACTAAGACACCTGGACATGGACTAGGGCTCTGCTTCCCAGACCCAGCTCTGCCCAGGAGCACACAAGAGCTTTGGGACACGTGAGAGAGACACAGCCAAGCCCTGGCCCCAGCACTACATCTCCCTCCAGGAAGAGCGCCTGCCCCATCTGGTACTTCAGTTCAGTTTTCTCTCAGAAAACACACACCCTAAAGGGCCTTCAACCTATAAAATTCACAGTTTATGACACAAGGCAGCAAGAAATAGAGGAATGTGTATTGCAGCATTATTTGTAATAACAACAAAAATTAGAACAAAATTAGCAAGCCAACAACCTTGCAATGGAACACTTTAGATCTGCCCTGTCTGATACGGTGACCCCTAACCACACACAGCTATTTAAACTGATCAAAATGAAATAAAATGTAAAATTCAGTTCCTCAGTCACACTGGCCACTTTCAAGCTCTCAGTCACCACATAAGGGCAGCATCTTGGACACAGAAGATAGGGAATGTTCCCATCACTATTAAAAGTTCAGGGAGACAGTGCCACAGACATGAGTTTAGACTCGTGTTAAAAAAAAAACTTGTTAATAACATGGAAAACTTTATGCCATGATCATATCAAAGCTGTAAAACTGCATTTGCACCATGATCTCAACTTTGTAAAATTAATGCAAAAGGAAAAAAATATATAACAAAGATTTGCTAAAATGTTTACCAGGATTACCTCTAGGCATTAGCACATGATGGATTTGTTTTCCTGATTTTTTATGCTCGCTTGAAATTTTGAAATTTTCTACATTGTGCATATGTGACATTTAAAATCAAGTTGGGGGCAGCTAGGTCCCCAAAGGTAGCCAAGAGGCATTAGGGGCAAAGGAGGATGATTGTGAAAGCATACCCTGATCAATGACACACAGGTTTAGTTGAACTAAAGCCCCCAAATCTCCAAAGTTGTGAGTTCTACTCATGCTCATCAATATTAAATAGAAAGTACTAATTAAAGAAAACAAAAATTCTGTCTCATAAGCAGACTCAAACTCTGTCCTCTTTTCCCTCCTGACAATGTGAGGCTGGGAAGTACTGGGCAGGCCTGGGCTTACAGGGGACACAGCCTCCTGCCATTGCATTGGAACCCGGGGCACTGATGCCACAGCCGGCTCACCCCAACAAGGACCCTGGGCCCAGAACACCATGGCTAGGACACCAAGCCTCACCCCCTACCTGTGCATCTCAGAGACATTTCTGACACTGTTGAATTGACCTTGGATGGCCCACAAAGGGCAACTAGGCACTTCTGACAGAGGAGAGCAACCGGAATAAGCCCCAGGGACTCCAGTAGTAAACCAGGGAAGATGCCAGTAATCTACACGTGGTGCAGAGACAGAGAACAAAACCAGCCTCAGAGCCCCTGGAAACAGACCCGGGCCCACTATTCTGTCTCAGCAAAGGCCCAGCTCACATTCTATAGGGGTTGAATAATATCCTCCAAAATTCATGGCCTTCCTGGAACCTTGGAATGTGACCTTATTTGGAATGAGGTCTCTGCAGATGTAATTAAGATGAAATCATACTGGATTAGGGTGGACGCTAAATCCAATGTGACTGGTGTTCTTACAAGAGAAGAGACACAAAGACACAGTCATGGAAGATAATGTGAACACACACACACACACACACACACACACACACACACACAGAGGCAGAGGCCAGGGGGTGGCTCATGACTGTAATCCCAGCACTTTGGGAGGCCAATGTAAACACACACACACACACACACACACACACACACACACATGCACACACAGAGGCAGAGGTTGGGGGGTGGCTCATGCCTGTAATCCCAGCACTTTGGGAGGCCAAGGCAGGGCAGATCACTTGAGCTCAGGAGTTCAAGACCAGCCTAGGCAACATGGTGAAATCCCATTTCTACTAAAAATACAAAAATTAGCCAGGCATGGTGGCATATGCCTATAATCTCGGCTACTCAGGAGGCTGAGACAGAAGAATTGCTTGAACCTGGGAGATGGAGGTTGCAGTGAGCCAAGGTTGAGCCACTGCACTCCAGCCTGGGTGACAGAGTGAGGCTCCGTTTGAAAAAACAACAACAACAACAACAAAAAAAAAAAACAGAGACAGAGACTGGGGCAAGGCATCCACAAGCCAAAAATCACCAGGGACTGCCAGCAGCACCAGAAGCTGGGGAGGCTCGGAACAGATCCTGCCCCAGCGCCTTCAGAGAGACCACGGCCCGCCAACACCTCGATTTTAGACTTGGCTTCCAGAACTGGGACACAATAAATTTTTGTTGGTTTAAACCAGTTTGTGGTACCTTGTTACCGCAGCTACAGGAAACTTATCCACGCTCCATTGTGCCCTCTGCAGAATGCACAGCCCTACATGTTCTAAAAGCCAAAGTGTTTAGGTGTCAAGGTCACGGACTACATGGGGATTCCCGAGGAACACAAGAGCTCAAACCCAAGCATGAGCAAATCCACTCCAGGGATGGTTCATGGAAGAAAGAAACTCCCTGAAGCTTGCAGAGTGTTGGAGACATCGGAGAGGCACGGGGGCATTTACCTTGAGAATGTACTTAACACCTCCGTAAATTAATTCCACATCTACGAGGTTCAGTAGTGAATCCGCTGGGAGGACCTGGCCCCTGAAAGAAAAGACAGGGTTGTGGTCAGCCTTGGGAGGGACTGAGAACTCCACAGCCATCCCTTGCATTTAAAAAAATTACGCAACTCTCTGCATCAGCAAACCTGACTGCACTAAAAATGCTAAGCCTGGGCTGGGCGCAATGGCTCACGCCTGTAATCCCTGCACCTTGGGAGGCTGAGGCAGGCACATCACTTGAGGCCAAGAGTTCGAGACCAGCCTGGCCAACATGGCAAAACCCCATCTCTACTAAAAATACAAAAATTAGCCGGGCGTGGTGGCATGCAGCTGTCATCCCAGCTACTCGGGAGGCTGAGGCACAAGAATTGCTTGAATGCAGGAGGCGGAGGTTGCAGTGAGCTGAGATCACACCATTGCACTCCAGCCTGTGTGACAGAGCGAGACTATGTCTCAAAAAAAAAAAAAAAAAAGGCTAAATCTGATTAAAAGTCACGCACAGAACCTGAATCACCCTGAGCAGCCTGATATTGCTTAGAACTTAAGGAATCAGCACTTGCTGAGGGATTTGAAATCTTACAAAGGCTTTTCAGGAGCAAAATCCATAACGGTCTCTTGGAAAAATTTCACATATGGGATCCTGCCTTCGGCTTATGAAAGAAACCAGAGCAGGGACTGTGATTCTACTACCGTTCAAAAGCATAACCAAACACTAAAAACATTTCTTACCAGGCACAGTGGCTCACGCCTATAATCTCAGCACTTTCAGAGTTGAGGCAGGAGGATTGCTTGAGGCCATGAGTTTGAGACCAGCCTGGGGGGCAACATAGTGAGACCCCATCTATGCAAAAAGTTAAAAAAATTGGCCAGGCATGATGGCATGCACCGGTGGTCCCAACTACTTGGGAGGCTGAGGTGGGCAGATCACTGGAGCCCAGGAAGTCCAGGCTGCAGTGAGCTGTGATCATACCACTGCACTCTAGCCTGGGTGATAGCCTGGATGACAGAGCAAGACTCTGTCTCAAAAAAAAAAAAGTTTATCCTTTTATTTTCTTTTTGATAGTTCCTTTGCCTCTTGCAGCAGTTCTCAACTGGGGGTGATTATTCTACTCCTAACCCTGGGACATTGGGCAATGTCTGGAGATATATTTGATTGTCATGACTCAGAGGGAAGGGCTGCTCCTGGCATTTAGTGGGTAGAGGCCAGGAATGCTGCTAACATCCTATGATGCACGGGACAGGTTCCCAAACAAAAAAAAAGCATCCAGCACAAAATGTTAATGGTGCTGAGGCTGAGAAACCCCGGCCTATCCTAACAGAGATCGCCTGGTTGCTTTCCATTCTGGTCCATTTCATGATGACCCTCTGATTCTGGTGAGGGTCTGGGAATGCACCCGCTTGTAGAGATGACCTTTAAGCCGCTTTGCTTCCCAAATCCACCTCCTTGAACTCAGAACTCCTGACTATTATGATGTACCTTACACAAGTCAGCATGGATCCGTACACAACAGCCTGTTCACTGACTGCCACCCTGGCCTCGAGAATCCCATTCCCTAACCCACAGCCTCTTCAAGGGTAGCCTAGGTTGATCTGTAGAGGAATTTCCCAGAGGCAAGACCGGAGGAGAGACTCACCAATTGCCTGGTGACTAACTGGCCACACAAATAAAGGAGACAGATTCAGCCTCCTAAGCCGCTAACACATATCACAAAAGCAGAAGGGAACTGCCACAGCCCCTACCTTTCCAGGGAGTGTAAGAAATCTGTCATGCACGTTCTGAACATCGCATCGGCCACGTTCAAGGCCCCGCATACCACCCCAAGCATGATATCCGGTTTCTCCGCCTAGGAGAAAATGCACTTCAGTATCCTCAGGAAGCCGAGGTCTCGGCCATCCAGAGGGGAGACACAGGCAGCTCACTCCCTACCTGCACTTTCTCAGCAATGAGGTAGTCCAACCACCCGGTGTCGATGTCGTTGTTCTGGAAGCTCTCGGTCTCCAGGAGGTTAATGAGGTATTCCACGGTAGTCCTAAAGTCGCCTCGGATGGACAGTTCCTTCAAAGCCACCACCATGTTCCTTGAAGGGAAAGGCACATGGATCATTTTCCAAATTCATGCATACATCAACAGAGTTGCTGCAATGATGTGATTCAGAGAACTGGAAAAGCACAGGAGTGGCCGGGTGTGGTGGCTCACGCCTGTAATCCCAGCACTTTGGGAGGCTGAGGTAGGTGTATTACTTGAGGTCAGGAGTTCAAGACCAGCCTGGCCAACATGGCGAAACCCCATCTCTACCAAAAATACAAAACTTAGCTCAGCATGGTGGAGGACGCCTGTAATCTCAGCTACTCAGGAGGCTGAGGCAGGAGAATCACTTGAATCTGGGAGGCAGAGGTTGCAGGGAGCTGAGATCACACCACTGCACTCCAGGCTGGGCGACAGAGCAAGACTCTGTCTCCAAAAAAAAAAAAAAAGAAGAGTTAAGAGAGGGCTCTGACTGACACAGCCAGTGCATTGAATCAGCGCCAGGGTTTACTGCCTGGCTAATCTTGGCCAAGTGACTTGAGAACTCTGGGCCTCAGTTTCCTCATATGGAAAATGGGGAAATAGCCCTGACTTCATGAGGGTGTTCGAGAATTGAAATGAGACAATCCATGTAATGCACATGGTCACTGATCAATAAATGTTAACTACAATGAACGTGATTAGTTATTATTGTTATAATTATTGACTATAATAGTTAATGATTAGTAGAGAAAGAACCAGCCAGGCATGGTGGTTCATGCCTGTAATCCCACTGCTTTGGGAGTCTGAGGCGGGAGGATTGCTTGAGGCATGAGTTCAAGACCAGCCTGGGCAACATAATGAGACGCCATCTCTACAAAAATTTTAAAATCAGCCAAGCGTGATGGTATGTGACTGTAGTCCCAGCTACTCAGGAGGCTAAAGGGGGAGGATCGCTTGAGCCCAGGAGTTTGAGGCTGCAGTGAGCTATGATCACACCATTGCACTCCAGCCTGGGCAACACAGTGAGACGCTATCTCTTAAAAGAAGAAAAAAAAACAAAGGGAAAATCGGTCACCGCCTCTGTCTCTCCCTTGACCTATTCAAATCTCCTGTCCCCAGAGCTGGTGCCACCCTCTCACCTTCCACACAGCTGCTCTGCCTGGTGTGTGTGGGGTGCACCTGCAGATGGACGGCACTGTCACCCGGCTCAGGGGCCTGGTGGGCCCCATGGCTGCCTCTCCCCAACACACAGACTCCAAATCTCCAAGAGCACCAGTTCAAATAGCTAAACCTCAGGCCAGGTGCAGTGGCTCACGCCTGTAATCCCAACACTTTGTGAGGCCAAGGCGGGTGGATCACTTGAGGTCAGGAGTTCGAGACCAGCCTGACCAACATGGAGAAATCCCGTCTCTACTAAAAATACAAAACTAGCCGGGCGTGGTGGGACGCGCCTATAGTCCCAGCTACTCGGGAAGCTGAGCCCTATGAATTCATGGTGAGTGTGGGCAGGTATCTGAACACCTCTTCTTCTGGGAGAGAAAGCTTTCTTTTTTTCTTTTTTTTGTTTTTTTGAGACGGAGCTTCACTCTTGTTGCCCAGGCTGGAGTGAAATGGCACGATCTCAGCTCACTGCAACCTCCATCTCCCAGGTTCAAGCAATTCTCCTGCCTCAGCCTCCCGAGTAGCTGGGATTACAGATGGCCACCAGGATGCCCGGCTAATTTCAGTATTTTTAGTAGACACGGGGTTTCGTCATGTTGGCCAGGCTGGTCTTGAACTCCTGGCTTCAAGTGATCTGCCCGCCTTGGCCTCCCAAAGTGCTGGGATTACAGGCATGAGCCACTGTGCCTGGCCGAGTAAGCTTTCATGTCTTGCAGCATCCTGTGTGCTGTCAGCAGGTAACGGGGAAGGACACTGATGACCCCATTTTGGGGGTGAGAAAATGAAGACCCAGTAAGGTCATACAAGGGTATCCATAGGCCATGAAAAGTCAGCTGTGGGTCTGGAAGCTGGGTATGAGAGTTAACCCGCTGGTCTCACGGGTGAGTGACTTGTCCCAGTTTCCTTGGGGTGGTCCCCATTTTAGCACTGAGAAGTCCTTCAACCTGAGAAACCGGTGCCAGGAAAACGAGGACAGTTGATCCCCCTACTGGACTCTCACTAACAGCAATAAGAAAAGCTGGAATTTCTGCCTGTGAGTTCTGTTGAAGTTGCGGTTGGTCCACTCGTAGCATGTGACAAGCCACAGGTCACTTCACTCGGAGGGGTCTGGGCTGGCTGACCTGTCTTCCGCCTACTCCTATTAAGTAAGCCCTTTTTGCTGCAATCTTCCATAAACTTCAAGGATCTTGATTTTTCACTAAGCATGATTAAAATTAATTATTCTAAGCTGGCAAAGAAAACCTGATCATCAAAACTGCCCAACTCAATTTAATTCGTGGCTAAGTGCCCCACGTCAGATTTTAATGCTAAGGCCTTTGGGATTTTTTCACTCCGAAGGGCAGTTACCCACACAAAAACATTTAATTACAAAGTAAACTAGTTTTATACCTTTCCACACCCATGTCAAGCCAGGAGAAGTGTCGGAGATGGTGTGTCAGAATTTGGGGGTCCCTCTGTCAATGTGGGCTTCTCAGCTCTGCAGAAACTATCACAAGTATGGGAGGACTTGGCTGAGCTGGGGACATGGGGCTGCTGTCACAGGCCTCAGAGTGGTGGGTGGTTCACAGCAGGACACACTCCTTAAAATTTAGTCTTCGGTGTGAAATACAACCCATTAGGGAACTACTGATAAGGTTTAAATGTAAAGGAGTTTCCCTCCCCCTTTCTTCAGCTATGGTACTTAGCACCTTTTACACTTTGGGTATCTCCTAGAACAATCTTTAGATCTCCTTCAAGCTAGAACTCTTATAAGCTCAAGACCAAATGACCTTGGTGCACTTATTTTACTTTGTGGATCTTCAATAAAGGAAAAAAAGGGCAGGCTTTGATCTTGAACTTCAAGCACAGGGTATTTTAAATGGGGCCTACCCTGTGATTTACTTTTCTTGGTCTCCTGAAATGCTACTGTATCTGAAGCCCCAGGGGACCGTTTCATTTCTTAAAGGAAGGAATTGGGAAAAGGAGGAAGTGGGAAGGGAGGGAAAGAAGGAAGGAAGGAAAGAAGGAGGAAGAAAGGGAGGGGGAGGAAAGCAGAGAAGTCAGGAAAAGAAGGAAGGAGGGAGGAAGGGAGGAAAGAAGGGAAGGGGAGGAGGAAGGACGGGAGGAAGGAAGGGAGGGGAAGGGATGGAAGGGGAGGGGAGGGCAGAAGAGGGGAGGAAGGAAGGAAGAAAGGAAGGCAGGAAGGCAATGGAAGGGAAGGAAGGAAAAAAGGAGAAAGGCTGAGAGGGAGGGAAGAAGAAAGGAAGGGAGGAGAAAGAGGGAAGGAAGAGGGGAAGAAGGGAGAGAGGGAAGGAAGGAAGGAAGGAAGGAAGGAAGGAAGGAAGGAAGGAAGGAAGGAAGGAAGGAAGGAGATACTGACGAAATGGCCTCTTCCCGGTTCTCTCCCCAGGAGAAGCAGTGCCCAAATTGGGAATCCGCAAACTCGTGCAGGCCTCCAGTAGCGGCCACGCTGAAGTAACCCCACACGTTCTTGCTGCTCCGGAAATTCAGTTCCTGGACAGTCCCGGAGCTCGGCTTAAAACCCTGGAGTCCGGACAGAAAATGCAAAATGGAAGAAATCATTACTCCAGATATATTTTCATCAGAATTCAGTCCTGGGAAAACCCAAGAACCCCTACGCTGACCAAAAGCTTAGGGTAGTCAATAGAACACTGATATCGCTTGTTACAGGTATGGATGTATCTATTCATGGGTGTACCCATATGAGCTCCTCAATGCCTATAATTCTTATTTTTTTTAACTGTAAAAAAATAACGAAGTTGGTTCAGTCGCAGTGGCTCATGTCTGTAATCCCAGCACTTTGGGAGGCAGAGGTAGGAGGATCACTTGAGCCCAGGAGTTCAAAACCAGCCAGAGTAACATCAGGAGACCCCATCTCTACAAAAAATTAAAATATTAGCCAGGTGTGGTGGCACACACCTGTAGTCCCAGCTACTTGTGGGGCTGAGGCAGAAGGATCTCTTGAGCCCAGGAGATTAGGCTGCAGTGAGGCATGACTACGCCACTGCACTCCCGCCTGGGTGACAGAGCAAGAACCTGTCTCAAATAAATAAATAAATAAATAAATAAATAAATAAATAAATAAATAAAATAAGCGAGTTGGGACAGAGATGGTAGTGCAGGTGTTAAATGGGCGAACATTGATGATTGATGGAGCTGAGTGAAGGGACATTCTGACTTTATATGCTTGACATTTCGAAAATAAAAAGTTTAAATAGAAGTGAAGACAGGTTAGATTTCCAATTCTGGATAATGAAAACCTCTGCAGGTGAAGAAATCCAGGGCATCCTGGGCAGGGCCCTTGCTGCTAGGGAAGAGGCCATTTCGTTGGTATTTCCTTCCTTTCTTCTCTCCTTCCTTCCTCCTTCCCTCCCTCCTTCCCTCTCTCCCTTCGTCCTTCCTCACTCCCCTCTTCCCTCCTTCCTTTCCTACCCCTTCCTCCCTCCCTCCCTCCATCCCCCTTTTCCTCACCCCATCGGCCAGGCTGCTGCCAACACACACCTGATTCCCTCTGGGAGAACGGCCCGTCTCCCTCTAAGTACAATTTTGGTAAGAGTGGGTGGACATGGCACCTCTCACTGGGATTAGGGCTCCTGAACTAAGGGATGAAGGATTTGGGGAGAGGTATGTAGAAGTGAGAGATGGAGCGACCCAAGTGCCTGGGCTGTTACCATACCTGGTCCTCCATCCTCCTAGGAACCTGGGAACGAGCCATCATCCCTCCAAAAAATTCCCCTTTTGCTTGTCCACCAGAGTTGGTGTTTGGTTCACAGCCAAGAACCCTAAATGAATACAGCTACCCTAGCTTAAAATTATTTAATTAAAAGGGGTGGAGGTGTACCCTCTCTTACCCCCAGTTTCCTGAGGGTAATAATTAAGCAATTAAGTTGTAGTAGATTGATGAGTCCTGTGACAATCAACGGTCGGTATGCATGTAAACTGTAAGGGATGCCAGTTGGTTTGTTTTTTAAGACCCAAGTAAGGCCAAGTCACAAAGGGACTCTCTACAATGAGCCAGACTTCATACTGTAGCAAAAAGCACACGGGGCCAGAAATCCAAGGACTAGGGTTCTAAACCTGGCTGCTTGTCCCAAAGATAGGCATGGCTTTTGGAGTCCACTGATGGGTCTCAGCAGGTCCCAGGTGGGAGACAGGAAGCAAGTTACCCCAGGCTCTTTGCCTGTAATGTGGGGTGACGATGTCCAGCAGCAGTAGTGTCCTATAAGTGAGCAGTGAGACATGGGAAGGCTCGGCCCAGAGCCTGGCAATAATCCAAAAATCCAGTAAATCCAGCCAGGTGTGGTGGCTCATGCCTGTAATCCCAACACTTTGGGAGGCCGAGGCGGGTGGATCACTCAAGGTCAGGAGTTCCAGACCAGCCTGGCCAATATGGTGAAACCCCGTCTCTACTAAAAATACAAAAATTAGCCAGGCGTGGTGGCGGGCGCCTGTAATCCCAACTACTTGGGAGACTGAGGCAGGAGAATCGCTTGAACCTGGGAGGCAGAGGTTGTAGTGAGCCAAGATTGCGCCACTACACTCCAGCCTGGGTGACAGGGTGAGACTCCATCTCAAAAAAATAAAAATAAATAAAAATAAAAATCCAATAAATCCAATAATCAAATAAACCATGGGATGTCCCTTCCCATGCCTCAGTTTCCCCATTTGTAAACTGAGATGCCTGGATAGCTTGTGGGTGTCTCTTCCCAGGCTAACATCCAGGGTCCCCCACATGCTGGGAGATCTGAGATGGTGGAAACACAGGGGCCCCCATAACTTGCCTCGTCTGGGTTTTCGCTGGTGATTCTGGCGGCAATGACGTGGCCTCGGGCGAGGGGAGGGTTTGAGGGGGTTTCAAAAGAAATGGGAGTCACTCCCCATGGTGACTCTCCATACAGAAGCCGGATATCCTTCAGCCGGTGCAGTGGCACGCCCATGGCGATCTAAAATCAAGAGATCCAACCCACAGACTGTCAGTCCTACCAGAACACGGCCCCAAAACACCAGGCACAGTGGTAGATGCAACGGAGGTTCAGTCAATGATTTAGGATATACAGACACTACTCTATAGACAACATGGTGCTCTACTGTGGCCAGAGAGCCAAAGAAAGAAAAAGCCATAAGACATGAACTTTTCACAGTGGAGCAAATAGTACAGTTGGGAAAAGGAAAAATATTTATGAAACAACATCACACAACAAGAAAATACATGCATCAAGTAAAAGCACTAGACTTTTAGAGCTAGGGAAGGTGAGAAGCAACCATGTTGGCTGCAGAGTTAAAGGAAGTTTTTGTAAAGGGCACCCGAAGGGGAAACTGGACATGAAGAATGGGTAAAAAGTAGACAATTATGGAACCAGCTTAACCAAATGATCAGATTTAACAGGCTTCATGATGAGATGTATTAAGGACACAACACCTGTGTAGTATTCTGCCAAAATGTGTAGCAGGAATCGAACCAGGAAGAAACAATCAGAGAAATCCAATGAGGGACATTCTGCCTGAGCTCCTCAAAAATGCCAGTGTCCATGCCTGTAATCCCAGAACTTTGGGAGGCTGAAGCAGGCAGATCGCTTGAGCCTAGGAGTTGGAGACCAGCCTGGGCAACATAATGAGACCCGATCTCTACAGAAAAAATTAAAAAAACATTAGCCAGGCATGGTGACTTGCACCTGTGGTCCCAGCTACTCAGGAGGCTGAGGTGGGAGGATCACTTGAGCCTGGGAGGTTGAATCTGTAGTGAGTCGTGATTGCACCACTGCATTCCAGCCTGAGTGACAGAGCGAGACTCCATCACCAAAAAAAAAAAAAAAAATTTTAATGCCAATGTCAAGGATGAAAAAAGACTACGAAATGCTTTCAGATTAAAGAGATTAAAGACACATGAAAATAAAATGGAATGTGTCACCCTGGGTTGGGTTGGATCCTGGATTTAAGAGACAAAAAACAGCTACAAAAAGACATTATTGGAACAACAGGGAAAATATTTAATGTGAATGGTATATATTAGATATAGATGTGGTATCAATGCTCTATTTCTCAAGTGTCATAATTGCACTAGGGCATTGGACCGGAATGCTCTTGTTGTAGGAGGCCTTTAGAATGAAGTATTCAGAGGCCATATGTTACGAAGGTTCACTCAAACCATTGCTCAAAAGATTGAGCCCACGGCCGGGCACAGTGGTGCATACCTGTAATCCCAGCATTTTGGGAGGCCGAGGTGGGCTGATCAGTTGAGGTCAGGAGTTCGAGACCAGCCTGGCCAACATGGTGAAGCCCCGTCTCTACTAAAAATATAAAAATTAGCTGGGTGTGGTGGCAGGCACCTATAATCCCAGCTACTCGGGAGGCTGAGGCAGGAGAATCGCTTGAACCTGGGAGGTGGAGGTTGCAGTGAGCCAAGATCGCACCACTGCACTCCAGCCTGGGTGAAAGGGCGAGACTCCATCTCAAAGAAAAAAAAAAAAGATTGAGCCCCCTAAAATTATACAAACAGACAGAAGAGAGACAAAGCAAATGTGGCAACTGATGGATCTATATGCAGGGCGTATGGGTATTAATTGTATCATTCTTGCAACTTTTTTGAAATCTTTCAAACTGAAAAAAAAATAAAGAAAACTTTTTAAAAAATTCTGCTGAAGGAAGAAAAAGAGGAAGGGAGGGAGACCAGCCTGGGCAACGTAATGAGACCCCATTATGGGAAGAAAGAAGGAAGGAAGGAAGAAAACAATGAAAACAATTTAGAGAAGAAATAAAGGACATCCAAATTGGAAAGGAAGAAGTCCAATTATCCTTGTTTACAGATGATATAATCTTAAAATTGGATAAACCTAAAGAATCCACCAAAAAAACAATTCGAATTGACAAATTCAGTAAATCTACAGGATACAAAATCAACATATAAAAATCAGTAGCATTTCTATATGCCAAGAGCGAATGGTCTGGAAAAAAAAATCAAGAAAGTAATTCCATTTATGATAGCTACAAACAAAATAAAATCCCTGGAATAAACTTAACCAAAGAAGTGAAAGGTCTCTATAATAAAAAGCATAAAACACTGATGTGAGAAATTGAAGAGGACACACAAAAATGGAAAGATATTCCATGTTCATGGTTTGGAAGAATCAGTATTGTTAAAATGGCTATATTACCCAAAGCAATCTATAGATTCAGTGCAATCCCTACCAAAATACCAATGACATTCTTCACAGAAATAGAAAAAAAAATCCTAAAGTTTATATGGAAACACAAAAGACCCAGAATAGCCAATACCATCCTGAAAAAAAAGAACAAACACTGGAGGAATTGAATTACCTGACTATGAGTTATATTACAGAGCTACAGTAACCAAAACAGGGTGGTACTGACATAAAAACAAACACATAGATCAATGGGACAGAATAGAGAATCCAGAAACAAATCCATACATCTACAGTGAACTGATTTTTGACAGACTTGCGAAGAACATGCAATGGGGAAAAAGTCTCTTCGATAAATGGTGCTGGGAAAACTGGATATCCATATGCAGAATCATAAATGAAGAATCAAATTCTTCAAATCAAAATAGACTAAAGACTTAAATCTAAGACCTGAAATTATGAAACTACTAGAAGAAAACATTGGGGGAACTCTCAGGAACATCAGTCTGGGCAAAAATTTATTGAGTAATACCCCAAAGGCACAGACAACTAAAGCAAAAAAAGGACAAATGGGATCACATCAAGTTAAGAAACTTCTGCACAGCAAAGGAAACAATCAACAAAGGGAAGAGACAATCCACAGCATGGGAGAAAACATTTGTAAACTAGCCACCTGACGAGGGATTAATAACCAGAATACATAAGAAGCTCAAGGATGAGCATGGTGACTCATGCCTGTAACACCAGCTCTTTGGGAGGCTGAGGTGGGAGGGCTGCTTGAACCCAAGAGTTTGAGACCAGCCTAGACAACATAGTGAGACCTTATCTGTACAAAAAATTTTAAAAAGTTAGCTGGGCATGGTGTTGCACACTTGTAGTCTCAGCTACTCAGGAGGTTGATGTGGGAGAATCGCTTGAGCCCAGGAGGTCAAGACTGCAGTGAGCCATGATCATGCCACTGCATTCCTGCCTGGGCAACAGAGCAAGGCCCTGGCTCAAAAACAAAAAAGAAGCTAAAACAACTGAGTAGGAAAAAAGTCTCATGAATCCAATTAAAAACAGACAAAAGATCTGAATAGACATTTCCCAAAAGAAGACATACGAATGGCAAACAGGCATAGGAAAAGGCACCCAACATCTCTGATCATCAGAGAAATGCAAATCAAAACCACAATGAGACATTGTCTCACTCCAGTTAAAATGGCTTTTATCCAAAAGACAGGCAATAAGAAATACTAGCAGCTGGGCGCGGTGGCTCAAGCTTGTAATCCCAGCACTTTGGGAGGCTGAGGTGGGTAGATCACGAGGTCAGGAGATCAAGACTATCCTGGCTAACACGGTGAAACCCCATCTCTACTAAATACACAAAAAATTAGCTGGGCGTCGTGGCACACGCCTGTAGTCCCAGCTACTCAGGAGGCTGAGGCAGGAGAATTGTTCGAACCGTGAGGCAGAGGTTGCTGTGAGCCAAGATCGCACCACTGTACTCCAGCCTGGGCAACAGAGCAAGACTCACTCTCAAAAAAAAAAAAAAAAAAAAAAGGAAAGGAAAAAGAAAACAGAAAAAGAAGTGCTAGCAAGGACGTGGAGAAAAGGGACCCCTCATACACTGTTGGTAGGACTGAAAATTAGTACAACCACTATGGAGGACAATATGGAGGTTCCTTAAAAAACTAAAAGTAGAACTACCAATCTAGCAATCCTACTGCTAAATATATACTCAAAAGAAAGGAAATCAGTATATCGAAGAGTATCTGTACTCCCATGTTTATTGTAGCACTATTCACAATAGCCAAGATTTGGAATCAACCTAAATGTCCATCAACAGATGATTGGATAAAGAAAATGTGGTACAGGCCAGGTGCAGTGGCTCATGCCTGTAATCCTAGCACTTTGGGAAGTTGAGGTGGGCAGATCATCTGAGGTCAGGAGTTTGAGACCAGCCTGGCCAATATGGTGAAACCCCATCTCTACTAAAAATGCAAAAATTAGCTGGGCATAGTAGTGTGCACCTGTAATCCCAACTACTAGGGAGGCTGAGGCAGGATAATTGCTTGAACCCAAGAGGTGGAGGTTGCAGTGAGCCGAGATTGCACCACTACACTCCAGCCTGGGCAACAGAGCGAGACTGCATCTCAAAAAAAAAAAAAAAAGAAAAGAAAAAGGAAAAAGAAAATGTGGTACATACACACAATGGAGTACTATTCAGACATAAAAAAGAATGAGACCATGATTTGCAACAACGTGGATGGAACTGGAGAACATTATGTTAAATGAAATAAACCAGGCAGAGAAAAACAAACTTTGCATGTTCTCACTCATTTGTGGGAGCTAAAAATTAAAACAATGGAACTCACAGACACAGAGAGTAGAATGATGGTTACCAGAGGCTGGAAAGGAAGAGGTAGGGGCATGGAAAGCGAGGATGATTAATGGGCGCAAAAATGTAGTGATTAAGAGAATGAATACGGCCTGCTATTTGATATAGTACAACAGGGTGACTACAGTCAACAATAATTTATTGTACATTTTAAAATTAACTAAAAGAGTATAATTGGAATATTCATAACACCATAACACAAAGAAAGGATAAACGCTGGAGGGGGATGGATACCCATTTACCCTGATGTGATTATTACACATTGTATGCCTGGGAGGCGGAGGCTGCAGTGAGCCGAGATCGCGCCACTGCACTCCAGCCTGGGCAACAGAGCAAGACTCCGTCTCAAAAAAACAAAAACAAAAACAAAAATCTCTTGCACCCTATAAATATACAGACTTACTATATACCCATCAAAATTAAAAATAAAAAAAAAATTTAGAGTTCCCTTTAACCCAAGAGGTTACAACTCTGGATCACATATTCTTAACAGGGATGATATTGCCTCTGAAGAGACAAATATTTGTTCTTGGGAGTGAAGAAAATCTCACTCTTTTCATGAATAAAGCACAGATATATCTACAATATCCAAACAGGTATGTGGTATATTTGTGATATTAAAATTTCACAAGACAGGGATTAGGATATAAAATGTGTCCAAAGGATCCTTGCAGGGAGTGATAATGATAACAAGGTTAAGAAACATTTCTCTAGGTCTATGAATGTCCTGAAATTGTATAAAAGATATTTTCCCAGGGAGAACTATAGCTTTTACAGATTTCTCAAAGTGCTCTTTGGCCAGTCATTCCCCTGGGACAGTCGGCCAAGAGATGGGCGGGATGGACTAATGGGAGCAGCACATGGACCCCTGACCCAGGGCAGAGAAGTCCCAGGGCCCCAAGCCCATTTTCTCACCTGTAGCTGGGCGGCCGGCAGATTAACATCAGCAATCATTTCTGTGCAGGGATGTTCCACCTGCAAGCGAGGATTCAGCTCCAAGAAGTGGAAGCTGCCATCCTGACTATAGAGGTATTCCACTGTCCCTGCACTCACATAGCCCACGGTCTTGGCCAGGCGGATGGCACACTGTGAAGAAACAGAAAGAGGCCAAGGGGGTTCCAGAGGTCTTTTCAGGGAACTGTAAATGGTGACTATCAGTTCCTTCACCAAATGCAGACTGAGCACCTGCTACATGTGAAATATTTTGGGACTGGCCAGGTGTGGTGGCTCATGCCTATCACCCTAGCGCTTAAGGAGGCCAAGGCGGGAGGATCACTTGAGGCCAGAAGTTCAAGGCCAGCCTGGGCAACATAGCAAGACTCTGTCTCTACAAAAATTTTTTTTTAAAATTAGCCAGACATGGTGACAGGTTCCTGTAGTCCCAGCTACTTGGGAGGCTGAGGTGGGAGGATCACTTGAGCCCAGGAGTTACAGGCTGCTGTGAACTATCATCGCACCACTGCACTCCAGCGTGGGCAACACAGTGAGACTCTGTCTCAAAAAAGAAAAGAAATATTTGGGGAGTTCACAGACCGGCTAATCCAATAAACCTGTGTGATGCTGAAATCACCTCTGGAATGGGCCCTCATCCCTCTTGTTAGGCACCCATGCCACCATTCAGCCACACTGACCGTAGAAAGTTCTTCCTGACTCTGAGCTGAGACGGCTCTCTCTGAAGCTGCCCCCTGGGCTCTGAGAAGTGTACCTGCTCCATGAACTCGAATATGGCCAGCGGGGCGATGGTGGCCGGTGCTTCCTCAACGATCTTCTGATGCCGCCGCTGGATGGAGCAGTCGCGACCAAACAGAGACACAGCATTCCCATACTGGTCAGCGAGGATCTGAACTTCCAGGTGACGGGCGTGCTGGGCCAGCTTCATGAGAAAGATGGGCGAGCCTGGGATCTCACTCTGTACCTGTCGGGGGAAGCAGAGCAGCCTGATCTTCATGGGGAAACCAGCTCTGGAAGCTTCTGGAAGTTCTCAGGAGAGAACATAAAACAAACGCAGTGATGTGTTTAGGGTACTCATCCAGGACTCTGCTGATCTTTTACTTTTGTTGTCTCACAGACATAATATTCTGTGGAGTCCCGACTCCACAGTAACGAGGAGAAAGGGGCCCCAGGTGGGGGACGGCCCCAGGTGGGGAAGAACAATGAACAACTGCTCGAGAGATGGCTAATCACAAACAACCCCAGGACGTAATGACCTCACAGCCCCTCCTCCAGCACCACCCTATAAAACCTCCCACCAGCCCTTGCCTCTTTGCAGACAGATCCTTCTCTGCTGTGCTGCCTGTTGCAATCTTGCAACATATTTTCATACTTCCTCCAATAAATCTGCCTTTCTTTACCTACAGCTGTCTTGGTAAATTCCTTTACCAGCTGCACCGCCAGCCCAATAGTCACTACCTGCAACATATTCTCTTTTTTAAGTCAAACTCTGTGAAATGGTAAAATCTCCCACAGTCACATCCCCTAAAGATATTGCACTGTTAAAGAGTTTGGTGTCCAAACTGGCTTTCTTCTATGCATATAGCAACACATACAGAGAAAGTTTCTTTGAATGAAAATGGGACCAAAACACACTAATCTGTGGTTGTCTTTTTCTTCCACTTACTGCACTTTCTCAGCTAGCTCTCCCGGGTGGAATCTAAGGACAAACTTACTTCATCCTGTTAAGAGCTGAAAGGCATTGTTTTATAGGCATGTCTTCTAGAGATTCTTAAAGACAATGTGAAAAGTATTCACGTGCAATGATTTCTAAGACAAATTAAGTTTAACAAATTTGCAATAATGTATAGGATGAAGTCATGCAAAAAATAATGAAACAACTGTATGAATGTCTATGTAAAAGTATATACAGTGACAGTGCTGAAAAGAGCCCCCCACCATCGGCAGCTGCTAATAGTGGTTACATCTGAGAAAGGAGAGTTGGAAGGTAATGGGGAAAAGGGTTTTTCCTTTTTTATTCTTAACACATGGCTGACTTGACTGACTCTCTACATTAAGAACATATTCATAGTGCACTCATATAAGTAAAATAAAAAAGCTTGGGCATCTGTGTGCACATGAGGGCCTGGGGTATGTGGGAACTCTCTATTCTTTCCGCTCCATTTTGCTGTGACCCTAAAACTGCTCTAATAAATAAAGTCTATTTTTTAAAAAGCAAAAAAGCTTTAAAATCTGTATGACCCCTAATGCAATATGGAATCCAGGACTGAATCCTGCAACAGGAAAGGGACATTGGTGCAAAAACAGATGAAATTCAATCTAGTCTGGAGTTTACCAAACAGAAAAGTGCCCATGTTAATCTCTTAGTTGCAAAGTTATATGAAAAATGTTAACGAGTGAAACCGGGCGAAGGATAGATGTGAACTTTCTGTACTGCTGCTGCAACTTCCCTTTTAATATCAATTCTTCCCCCCACCCAAATCCCCAAAACACTTGTACACCCCAACAGCGATACAATGGTAGTGAAACTGCTGCTTTATACAACATTCACATATTATACCAAGAGTGGTATAATTAGTAAAACTCCTAGAAAGCAATGTACTGATATGTGTTTCAAAGTGCATGTAAAGTGTGTGCTATTTAACTAAGTCTTTCTCCCCAAGTCTTTATCCAAGAAAATAATTAAGAAGAAAAAAGAGCTAAGTGTTATTTATAGTACTAAATATCACATTATACTGTGGTATTATTATTCATAATAACAAAGTAGAAATAAGCTAAACATTTAACAAAAAAGGAAAGGTTTCATAAATAAGGCTATTGCCACACATAAAATATTGAGTAATCATCAAAATAATTGCCAAGGCAGGAATAACATAATAATATTCATGATCTACAATTTGGAATGTGTTAAATGCAGAGCAAAATTTCGTGTAGACTGAATACAGCTCTTTAAAATATACATATGAAGAAGGTCTAGAAGAAAAGCTAGAAATATTAAAATAGCTTTAAGAATGGGAAGATTGTCAGTATAAATGTTTTCTAAACATTGCTGATAACGGACATAAGGTTTTAAAAGAGGAAAACTAGCTACCAGTAAGTAAATGTGCAATTCGTTCCTACAGTTAAAATTGATCAGGCAGGGCGCAGCGGATCACACCTGTAATCCCAGCACTTTGGGAGGCCAGGGCGGGTGGATCACTCAAGGCCAAGAGTTTGAGACCAGCCCAGCCAACATGGTGAAACTCTGTCTCTACTAAAAAGACAAAAATGAGCTGCGTGTGGTGGCACACGCCTGTAATCCCAGCTACTCAGGAGGCTGAGGCACTAGAATTGTTTGAACCTGGAAGGCAGAGGTTGCAGTGAGCTGAGATTGTGCCACTGCACTCCAGCCTGGGTGACAGAGTGAACTCTGTCTCAAAAATAAAATAAAATAGACCATCTAGAAACATTAGAAATAACAAGAGTACTAATATTTATAAAATATCCCATTCCTCTATAGGCCAATATAGTCACAAACAGCTATTTTGATCCTGTATCTCTGAAATCATTTCTAGATACACTGATTTATAGACTTGAACTACCTAAAAGATTCTGTCAAGATCGACACAAAACCATGGGCTTTTCTGAGTAAAAATGTACGCGTTTGTTGCAAAATACGATACAACGATACATCCAGCTCCTACAAATGTCTTCTTGACTGTCACAGAATAATGCTAAGAGAAATAATCTGGCAGCCCACAAACAATTCCCAAAGACAGATGCGAAAAGACACAGCAAGAACTGCTCACTTGTCTGAAAAGGATCGGGAAGTCCTCCGCACTCTCAGCCTTCCGGATTCCCTTCCCTCCGCCACCTTCAGAAGCTTTGATCATCAATGGAAAACCAATTCTTTCTGCTGCCTGGGTGCAAAGGACAAACAGACCTCTTTAGAGGTTAGCCAGTTGCCAACTGCTACCAGGACAGAGGCAGTTCGGTTCTGGCTCCCCTGGCCCCCACAGGCTCTGCATTTACCTCCAAGCCCTCATCTACGTCTTTCACGCAACCCTTGTCATAAACATCTTCTGGGACACTGATTCTTTTTCCCTGCTGCAGATCATCTTCTGTCCACTCCACTGTCAGGCCTGGAGAGTCACAAAGAAACCTGATTCCTCCCAAATCCAGGAGAAACACACACAACCCAGAAACCACAGCGCCTCTCCCTGCTGACATAGTGCTAGACCTGGGCTTCTGGACCAGCGGAATACAGACACTCCCTTCAGCTTCTCACAATGGCTTTTCATTTCCTCAAGAACTAACCCAACCTTGAATGAGAAATCAAGCTTAAGAAACTAACTGCCAGGCGTGGTGGCTCATGCTTATAATCCCAGCACTTTGGGAGGCTGAGGTGGGGGGAATCGCTTGAACCCAGGACTTTAAGACCAACCCTGGCAACATAGTGAGACCTTGTCTTTACAAAAAAAATTTTATAATTAGCCAGGCATGGTGGCATGGGCCTGTAGTCCCAGCTACTCGGGAGGCTGATACAGGAGGATCACTTGAGCTCAGGAGGTCAAGACTGCTGTGAGCTATGATCATGCCACTACAGTTTGGCCTGGGTGACAGAGTGAGACCCTGTCTCGAAAACAAAACAACAAAAAAGGAAAGAAACTCAGACTGAGTCGACCAACAACAACCATATTAATCTAAATCCAAAAAAAAATCCCAATTCTACCTTATGGAGTCATTTATATGTGAATAATTATTTCCCAACACCATGCAAAGATTTAACAAATGAAAGCAAATTTTCCATCCCAAATTTAAAATTCAACTTTTGGGGGGGGAAAAAAAAACAAATTTAATAGGAAACTTTTGAGACGGTCCTATTTATTTTTTAATTTGTCCTAGAAACTCCACTGTTAGGAATTTATCCTAAGAAAATTATTAAAATGCACACATAAATTTAGCTGTAAGATTATCAAAGCTCCATTCCTTTGAATATTTTTTAAATTAGAAAAAATAAATTGGAAACAACCTAAATTGTTTAACCATGAGGACTGTTAAGTAAATTATGATACATCCATAAGATATAATCCTATGCAGGCATCTTAAATGGTGTAAAGTGTATTTTTTACATAGAAAGATATTCATTAGTGAGGAAAAAAAAAGTCACAAACTAGGAAATGTAAGATGGGTTGTTGTTTCCTTTTAAAGACAGGGTCTCATCACCCAGGCTGGAGTGCAGTGGTGCCACCATAGTTCACTGTAACCTCGACCTCCTAGGCTCAAGCCACCCTCCTGCCTCAGCCTCCTCAGTAGTTGGGACTACAGGTATGCACCACCATAACCAGTTAATTTTTTTTTTTTTTACTTTTTCTGGAGATGGGGTCTTGCTATGTTGCCCAGGCTGGTCTTGAACTCCTGGCTTCAAGTGATCCTCCTCCCTCAGCCTCTGAAAGCACTGGGTTGGGGGGTTGGGTTACAGACATGAGCCACTGGCCAAGATCTGTCTTTTTTTTTTTTTTTTCCCAAAGAATATGGCCAGAAAAAGGTTGGAAAGGTAGATACCTACAATGTAATAAATGTTCAACACTGGGTCATAGGATTATGAATGATTTCCATTTCTTTTTTGTACTTCTTGTATTTTCTAAATTGCCTACAATAAATTATACCACTTGTTTACTAATTTAAAATTTTAAAATATTTTGCTAATGACTAAAAAATAAAAGTAAGTAACATTTGTAATGGAAAGAATTGTTACAAGCATACTTCTGTCACCCTGACCGTTCACATTATCAAGACTGGGCTGAGAAGCTCCCCCAGAGGGAAGCTCGGGGTCCCTTACCGCTTCCACTCCAGGGCAGGGTTGGGACCTGTAGCGTCTGGGCGACAACGGTGGAGGCGATCTTATCTCCTAAGGCCCACATGGCCTCACTGGGAGGGCCTGAGGAATCGGGGACAAGAAGGGAAGCAGAATCCGGTCAGTCACAAGACCCTCGAGGCTGAAGGCCGACCGAGTGCACGGTGGTGGGGCCAGGTAAGGAGCAGATGACAGAGAAAATTCTCTGGTCCCAGCTCTCAAGGAGCTTAACCTCATGTCAGGGAAGAAAAATAATCTGTTAGTCTGCTATTGCATCAGTCAACTTTCAACGTATGTGGATTGTAAACCTGTTGTGAGTTACAACCTAGGCTACAGTGGCATATACAAAATTCACTTTGGAGGGAAGGCAGAAAGCTAGATCAAAGAGGTAAGCTAGGAGCTCAAAGAGCTGGACCATAGGTTAGCAAACTCTTTCTATAAAGAGCCAGATGGGAAATACTTTCAGTTGTGCGAGCCTGCAGGTCTCTGTCACAATGACTCAACTTTGCCAGTGTTGGGTGAAAGCAGCCATAGGCAATACATAAACGAATAAGCACGACCATGTTTTAATAAAACTTTATTTACAAAGGCAAGCCATAGGCTGGATTTGGCCTATGAGCTGTAGTTTGTCCAGTGGGCTGGATCATCAACCTCCAGAGGAATTAAGACTGATAATGAGAGTCCTGGGTAACTGTCAGACAGGACAGATGCCCACATGTACTCAGAGTCCACAGACAAAGAAAACGTCAATGGGCATGGGACTCCCGGCTGTACCTCAGGTGAATATCATGTATTGATCCGCACTGAGTTGCTTCACATTTGGGCAAGACTGTTTTCAGACCCACCGGTAAGGAGAAGCAGGGATTTATTACATGATAGTAAATGATTCCCCTAAACTACACAAGGACATGGACATAATTACATGTGCAAATTTGTTATATAGGTAAACTTATGTCACAGGGGTTTGTGGTACAGATTATTTCATCACCCAGGTACCAAGCCTAGTATCCAATAGTTATTTTTTCTGCTTTTCTCCCTCCTCTCGCCTTTCACCCTCAAGTAGTGTCTGCTGTTCCCTCTTTGTGTCCATATGTTCTCATCATTTAGCTCCCACTTATAAGTGAGAACATTTAATATTTGGTTTTCTGTTCCTGTGTTAGTTTGCTAAGGATAACGGCCTCCAGCTCCATCCATGTTCCCACAAAAGACATAATCTCAGTATTTTTGATGGCTGCATAGTATTCCATGGTGTATATGTACCACATTTTCTTTATCCAATCTGTTATTGATGGGCATTTAGGTTGACTCCATGCCTTTGCTACTGTGAATAGTGCTGCAATAAACATTCGTGTTCATGCGTCTTTATGGTCGAATGATTTTAAATTCCTCTGGGTATATACCCAGTAACAGGATTGCTGGGTTAAACGGTAGTTCTATTTTTGGCTCTTTGAGGAATTGCCTCACTGTTTTCCACAATGGGTGAACTAGTTTACACTCCCACCAACAGTGCATAAGCGTTCCCTTTTCTCCACAATCTCAGAATCTGTCAAGAAATGGTATCTCACTCTGGTTTTGACTTGCCTTTCTCTAATGATCAGTGATGTTGAGCTTTTTTTCATATGCTTGTTGGCTGCCTGTGTGTCTTCCTTTGAAAAGCGGGCAGCTCCTAATTCCATGAGTTGGCAGATTAGCTATGTGCCCTTCCACCCTGGGACTCACTCACTCCTCACGACAGAAGTGTGAGGTGGGAAATCAAACGGACCTCCGCTTTACAGGACAGGAGGAGAAAGAGGGTCAGACCCAGCAGAGTGTCCCAGCAATACCCCAATTCCCATGTATCTGATGGGGACACACTCTACCTAAGAAAGCAACTCCATTCTTGCACAGCAGCTCCGGAAGTTTAGGGTTTTCTGAAGCATGGCCCCAGCCAGCCCACACCGCCTGCAAACACAGAAAGGGGTGAGCAACAATCTTCCTTCAAGAATATGCCTCCCAGCCAGGTGCAGTAACTCACGCCTATAACCCCAGCAGTTTGGGAGGCCAAGGCAGGAGGATCACTTGAGCCCAGGAGTTCGAGACCAGCCTGGCCAACATGGCGAGATCCTGTCTATAAAATTTTTTTTTAAAAACAGAATGTGCTTCGCCTCACTTGAACACTCTTTTCTGTGTTACATCAGCCCAGGAATTTGGAGCCTTGTGGGATCTGGACCCTCCACCCCTTGTGAACTGTGGAATTGAACTAGAACCTAGGGGCATCATCCCACACTCAGGGGCCACACTTGGGCACCCCAGTCCATCTACCTGCACGGGGATTCTCTTGGCAATGTCCACAATCAGCTCCACGTTGGCATAGTTGTTGTTATTGGGCCCTCCTGGGACGGGGACGTAATGATCCGCCATCTTGATGTACTCTGAAATTAAATGGGAGGGAGAAGGAAGGAACTGCTGACAGACTGACATCAATGGCAGAACATTACAAGATGTGACTATGTACAGCCATGGAAAGCAGAACCATGCAGATTTCTATGGTAACAATGGACAAACATGTATGAAAATGTAAAGAGAAGGCCAGGCGTGGTGGCTCACGCCTGTAATCCCAGCACTTTGGGAGGCCGAGGCAGGCAGATGGCCTGAGGCCAGGAGTTCGAAACCGGCCTGGGCAACATGGTGAAATTCTGTCTCTACTAAAAATACAAAAATTAGCCAGGCGTGGTGGTGGGCACCTGTAATCCAAGGTACTCAGGAGGCTGAGGTAGGAGAATCGCTTGAACCCAGGAGGCGGAGGTAGCAGTGAGCTGAGATCACACCACTGCACTCCAGCCTGGGTGACAGAACGAGACTCTGTCTAATAAAAAAAAAAAAGAAAGAAAATGTAAAGAAAATGAAATATGATTTTAATTATGTGATACAGATATGTTTCTGGACAAGGCCTGGAAGGCCTGGAAAGGAACGAAGGAAGAAGGAAGTAATCTGTCAACAGACTGGGATTAGAGGTGGGTTTTTAAAAAAAGTCCTATTTAAAGTTTATCTTAATATTGTTTTACCATTAAATAATATAATAGGGCTGGGCACGGTGGTGCACGCCTGACATCCCAGCACTTTGGGAGGCAGAGGCAGGAGGATCACTTGAGGCCAAGAATTCAAGACCAGTTTGGGCAACACACAGAGACTTTGTCTCCACAAAAAAAAAAAAAAAAAAAAATCCAAAAAAAGTAGCCAGGAATGGTGGTGCATGCCTATAGTCCCAGCTACTTGGGAGGCCAAGGCAGGAGGATCACTTGAGCCTAGAAGGTCGAGGCTACAATGAGTCGTGATCATGTCACTGCGCTCCAGCCTGGGTGACAGAGCAAGGCCCTGTCTCAAAAAACAAACAAACAAACAAAAATACAATACAGAGTTTTAAATTATGGTAAAAAAAAAAACACACACAAAATTTACCATCTTAACCATTTTTGAGTGTACAGTTCAATAGTGAAGTATATTTATATTGTGAAACAGATGTCCACAACTTTTTCATTTTATGAATCTGAAGCTCTATACTCATGAACAACTCCCTTTCTCTCCCTCCCTCATGTCCTTGGCAACCAACGATCTTCTCTCTCTCTATGAATTGCACTACTCTAGTTACCCCTTCTACATGGAATCATGCAGTATTTGTCTTTTTGTGACTGGCTTATTTCACTTTTTGTGACCAGCATAACGTCCTCAAGGTTCATCTGTGTTGTAACATATGACGGGATTTCCTTCCTTTTTAAGGCTGAACATAACGCAATGTTTTGATTTTAAAATACTCATGCTCTTTAAGCCAGAAGTTCCATGTCTAGGAATATGTCCTTAAAAAAACACACGCTGGCTGGGCGCGGTGGCTGACACCTGTAATCCCAGCACTTTGGGAGGCTGAGGCGGGCAGATCACCTGAAGTCAGGAGTTCAAGACTAGCCTGGCCAACATGGTGAAACTCCATCTCCACTAAAAATACAAAAATTAGCCAGTCGTGGTGGTACATGCCTGAAGTCCCAGCTACTTGGGAGGCTGAGGCACAAGAATTGCTTGAACCCGGGAGGTAGAGCAAGACTCCATCTCAGAAAAAAAGCAACAACAAACAAACAAACAAAAACCCACACATCAATGAGGCCAAAGTCAGAGAACAGCCACTGAGCAGTGTTTTGGACTAGGAAAAGTTAGACTCAATCCAAACACAGGGGTTGGGACATCTGTACTATAGAATTGCTAAGATCCTGAAATTGAACAATGTGGCACTTTATATGCAAACACAGAAAGAAATCCCAGAGCAGCTGCTCCTTCCGGCCTGCCTGCCTCCTATGTTTATCAAACACAGAAGTGTCGGCCAACGGGGAGATTCCAGAGATGATGAAGTGAGCGGCCAGACAGGCTTCCTGGTCCTTGTCCAGTTTTTCTTTTATGTTGGAGAAGATAAACAAGAAAATAAACACAATAACTACAGACTCCGGTCAGTGCTGGGAAGAAAATAAATGAGGTTCTCTGAGAGAGATGCGATGATCATGTTGAGACCTACAGGCTGGGTGGGGAGGGAGTCCACTGCACAAAGGGCTCTGGGAGAAGCACCTTCAATAGAGGTTCCAGCAGGTGCCAAGACTCTGCAACAGGCCCAGGAGCTACCAGAGGTCAGGGTGACTGGTACCCGGCTGATGGAGGGCAAGAGGTTCAAGATGGAGCCAGGAGGGGACTTAATAGGCCTGGGTGACAATTTTGAATTTTAGACTAACCAAGATGGGAGGACCCACTGGATGATGCTCTGAACCCAGACCAGGGTTCCCATCCCACCCGCATCACATGATGGTTGTGTGACCCTGGACAAGTGATAAATTCACATCCCTGTGCCTCGACTGTGCCATCTGTAAAACAGAGCTGTAAGTAACAAATGAGGCCATGTCTGTGAAGAGCTTGGGGCAGGAAGGCTTAGGGGATGGTGCTGAGGTTGCTAATATTGGGAACAGCACACAGCCTCTGATGCATTTTAAGGAGAAGCACAAAAAGACCTGAAGACCTGACTTATGTTGGTTTTTGTTTTGCTTTTTTTTTTTTTTTTTTGAGACAGTCTCACTCTGTCGCCCAGGCCGCAGTGCAGTGGAGTGATCTCAGCCTACTGCAACCTCCGCCTCCTGGATTCAAGCAATTCTCCTGCCTCAGCCTCCTGAAGAGCTGGGACTACAGGCACCTGCCACCATGCCCGGCAAATTTTTGGGAGGTATTTTTAGTAGAGATGGGGTTCCACCACATTGGGCAGGCTGATCTCAAAACTCCTGGCCTCAAGTGATTCGCCCATCTTGGCCTCCCAAAGTGCTGGGATTACAGGCGTGAGCCACTGTGCTCGGACCTGAGTTATGCTTTTAGGTTTATGTTGTTTTATTTGAGACAGAGTCTCAGTCTGTTTCCCAGGCTGGAATGCAGCGGTGTAATCACAGCTCACTGCAGCCTAGACCCCCTGGGCTGAAGCGATCCTCCCACCTCAGCTTCCTGAGTAGCTGAGACTACAGGTGCGTGCCACTATACCCAGTTAATTTTTTTATTTTTATTTTTTGTAGAGACAGGGTCTTATTATGTTACCCAGGCTGCTCTCAAACTCAAGGGCTCAAGCAATCCTCCCACCTTAGCCTCCCAAAGTGCTGGGATTACAGGGGTGAGCCAGCGCTCTGGCTGAGGTTTTTGTTTTTAACAACCTTCAGAAAATACAGCAGAAGAAGTTATGCTTTTAAAAGGTCACTTTGGCTGCTGTGGGGAGTAGGGCCTATAAAAGGATAAGACTGTTCAGGAAAAAAGTAAATCATCCAACAGTTGTTTATAGAATGATTCATTATAATAAACTTAGGCAAATGAACGGAAGAATGAACAAATGATTGAAATACAATTACATACACCTGCAGGAGAAACAGCCCCCAATCTGCTAGAACACAGACATTTCTCAAAGATCGAATTTCCTCTCTGCATGTTAACCATCTGCATTTTTGTAAGGCACATGAGTTGTTCTTGATGTCAGCAGACATTTTAATTAAATAAAGAAGGAAGGACAAATAAATACAGACTCATGAGAGGTCCTGACCATCGGGAGTCCAGGATGGACTTGCCTAGGCACAGGGGAAGGAGGCGAGGGCAGGCAAGGATGGAGCGTGATGGGAGGAGAGGGTCAAGGCCCAGGTACCTGCGTTGGCCTTAAGGTCCTCGGGGGTCACCATCACAACAAACCGGATGGCCCGCTCGTTGCGGAACATCTCATAGGCCCACCTGCGGATGGAGCGCATGCACTTCACGGCGGCAATCCCGTTGTTGGCAATAAGCACCTGCATGGGAAGACAAGGAAGGAGCTGTAGATGCACATCTACCTGCGCTGGGGGCCACGTGCTACCCCGAGTCCACCTCACAGCTGCAGAGCCTCCTGCAGCCCCCGCAGCACATCATTCCTCTTGGTATTTCTATGTATTTCCATGGCACACACCCCAGCACAGAGCAGGAGCTCAAAGTCTGCCATCCACATGAATGGATCATCAAATGGATGGATGGATGGATGGCTGTTTGTCTGAAATATATATATATATATATATATATATATATATACACATACATATATTTTTTTTTTTGAGACAGAGTCTTGCTCTGTCACCCAGGCTGGAGTACAGTGGTGCAATCACAGCTCACTGCAGCTTCGACCTTCCAGCTTCAAGTGATCCTCCCACCTCAGCCTCCCGAGTAGCTGGGACTACAGGTGTACACCACCACATCCTGCTAATTTTTTAATTTTTTTGCAGAGACAGGATTTTGTCATGTCGTCCATGCTGGTCTTGAACTTGAACACAAACCCAGGCTGGGCCCAAATGATCTGCCCACCTCACCCTCCCAAAGTGCTGGGATTACAGGCATGAGCCACTGTGCCGAGCCCAGTGAATGATTTTTTTTTTATTCCTTTGGTGTCATTGTGATCACCCTTAACACTTTTTGAGTGTTTTACAGTACAATGTGTTTTACCTGTCTTATTTCATTTCATCCTCACAATAGCCCTTTGAAAGAGGCTTCACTATTATTTCTATTTGAGGGTTAAACTATTAAAACTCAGAGGAGCGTGGCCCTCACCCCCTCTCTGCAGCAGGCAGAATGAGCCTGAACCCGAATCTCCCACCTCCAGCTGAGAGGAGGGGCCCCTGCACCCCAATCGGACCCCACCCAGAGTGCCGAGACCCATCTGTACCTTCTCGATGACCCGATCCCCCCCAAAGCGTGTGACAAACTCAGCGGGAGAAGCCACGGTAAAGTCTCTGTGCAGGTCCAGCTTCTTGTGTTCCCGTCCCCTCTTCACCAGGTGGAGTCCCGACATGCTCGGCCTGCAGAATAAGAATGAGGGACAGACGTGCATGAGGGAAGAAGCCTGGGACTCAGAGCTCGGCACCTGTAAAGCCAGTGGAGCAGAGGAGCCAAACTGCACCAGAGCCCCCCTGCTTTGCACTTGCTCTCCAGAGCCCCTGAAGCAATTTACAAGGAGGCTCAAGGGCAGGAAGCACCTTCGGTTTTTTTTTTTTTTTTTTTTTTTTTTTTGAGACGGGATCTCATTCTGTCACCTAGGCTAGTATGCAGTGGTGCAATCGTGGCTCGCTGCAGCCTCGACCTCCTTGGGTAGCTGGGACCACAGAGGGCACTACCAAGCCCAGCCGACTTTTAAACATTTTTGTAGAGATGGGGTCTCACTATGTTGCCCAGGCTCGTCCAAACTCTTGATGTCAAGTGACGTCAAAGCCTTTCAAAGCATTGGGATTACAGGCGTGAACCACTGTACCCAACTGAAAGCACCTTAAGAGGCCAGCTAAGGTACCAGCACATGAACTAGAAGGAGCAGTTTCTTCTACCTGTCCCAAGGTGGATGTTTAGATTTTTAATCCTAAGTTAATTTTTACTTTACATGCCCATTGTTTAGGAACCTGAATAATACTAAAAAACTTATAACAAGGGTGAGAGTTTTATGATCAGGGAAGAAGTCCACACATTCTAATCGTTCCGACTTGTTACATGGTATTAATATCTTTCATGTACTTTTCTACATTTGTATTTCAGAAGTTTTTAAGTTTTCTTTTTTGTAGAGACAGGGGTCTCACTTTGTTGCCCAGGCTGGTCTTGAACTCCTGGCTTCAAGTGATCCTCCCACCTCGGCCTTCCAAAATACAGGCATGAGCCACCACGCCCAGCCCACAAAATTTCTTTAGAAAACTGAAAACAATTTTTTAAATGTTTAACAACAAAACAGGTTTCCTGCTCTGTCCCTCCACACCAGAGGAAACTGATGCTGATTTTTTCTAGCAATTACACATCTCCATAGTCCTAAACAACAAGTGTATGCAATCTTGTGAGTCATCCATGTGAGACAGCATCTATGGCCTTCCCATCCTGAGAGATGTGAATTTAGTTATCTCACAAGGCCACCCCATCGGCTCCCCTCCACCAGCTGGTCAATACCATAGAAGTCTACTGTAATTTAGCAAACTGGGTATTCAATGTTTTACTTGTTTGTGATCATTATTCACATATGAAGTTTGTGATCATTATTCACATATGAGAGCTGCAGTGTACCAGATTTTAGTTCCTTTCTTTTTGCCTTTTCCTGGAGTTAATGATTTTTTTCCTTTACTTAGTGTTCCTTGTACCTGTTGCTAAATCACCCCACTCCTCCTAATAGATTCCCAGTACACATAAGATAATTGATCAGGCCACATGCAGTGGCTCATACCTGTAATCCCAGCACTTCGGGAGGCCAAGGCAGGAGGACTGCTTGAGACCAGGAGTTCGAGACCAGCCTGGGCAATGTAGCAAGACCCCATCTCATTAAAAATAATAATAATAAATAATTGATCAGTTCTGTTTTTTTCCACTGGTGACATCTCTCCTGAAGGCCTCTGTTCTCCTTCCGTAGGTACTGGCTGTCCTCTAGGCCCCTACATCACCATTGTTTTGGGGCTTCCCTTTGCTGACATCCCTAGAATTCCCTTTGCCTTTCCTTGGGGTTGGATTCCTAATTTGGGGGAATGGGTGGCTCGTCTTTCTTGGTAGACTCCCTTGTTTTGCTGGGGCATATCCTCCAGTAGTTTCATCCACTTAAGAAGATGGTAGAATGGCAAGGCGCATGACAATGATGCCCTCAATTTCCCTGCCCTATTCCTGACTGGGCTTCCTTATCACCATCACCCTGGAGACTCCCTTTCAGTCTATGTTGAATCTCCTGTTTCCTGTCTCCTGTGTGTTGCTCTTCCTTGGTTTACCCTCTGGTTTCAGTGGAAGACATCCTCAAGTAGCTTTCTAAGAAAGGCTATTCAGGGCCAGGCGTGGTGGCTCACACCTGTAATCCCAGCACCTTGGAAAGCCGAGGAGGGAGAATTGCTTGAACCCAGGAGGTGGAGGTTGCAGTGAGCCGAGATTGCACCACTGCACTCCAGACTGGGCAACAGGGTCAGACTCCATCTCAAAAAAAAAAAAAAAAAATTTAAATTAGCTAGGCATGGTGGCACCTGCCTGTAGTCCTAGCTACTCAGGAGGCTAAGGTAGAAGGATCACTTGAGCCCAGGAAGTCAAGGCTGCAGTGAGCTAGGATTGCACCATTGCACTTCAGCCTTTCTCCTGCCCTCACATTCAACCTTACCACTTGGCTGTGTGTGAAATGCTAGGAAGGGCCAGGCATGGTGGCTCATGCCTGTAATCCTAGCACTTTGGGAGGCTGAGGTGGGTAGATCACTTGAGGTCAGGAGTTTGAGACCAGCCCGGCCAATATGGTGAACCCCATCTCTACTAAAAATACAGAAGTTATCCAGACACAGAGTTGTGCACCTGTAATCCCAGCTACTTGGGAGACTGAGGCAGGAGAATTGCTTGAACCCAGAGAATGGAGGTTGCAGTAAGCCGAGATCGCGCCACTGGACTCCAGCCTGGGCGACAGAGTGAGACTCTATCTCAAACAAAAAGAAATTTCAGGAAGGAAAACCTTCTTCAAGTTTTAGAAGCCTTGTGCCATTGTGTTGTGGCTTCCAAGGCTGCTAGAACAAGAGTAATTCTGATCCTTGATCCTTTGTAGGTGACCTGTTTTTTCATATCCAGATGCTTATAGGAGCGTCCCTCTGTCCCCAGAACTCTATGATTTCACAGTGATGAGCTCAAGTATGTGTCTGCTTCCACCAATGAGGCTGCACATCTCTCAGGCCCTCTCAATCTGGAAACTTCCATCCTGGGAATTTGTCTTCAAATACTTCCTTGATGGGCTGAACATGGTGGCTTACGCCTGTGATCCCAGCACTTTTGGAAGCTGAAGTGGGAAGATCACTTAAGGTCAGGAGTTAGAGACCAGCTTGGCCAACATGGTGAAACCCCGTCTCTACTAAAAATACAAAAATTAGCCGGGCATGGTGGTGTGCATCTGTAATCCCAGCTACTTGAGAGGCTGAAGCAGGAGAATCACTTGAACCCAGGAGGCGGATGTTGTAGTGAGCCAAGATTGTGCCACTGCGCTCCAGCCTGGGCAATAGAGTGAGACTCCATCTCAAACAACAACAACAACAACAAGAAACAAATACTTCCTTGATGATGTCCTTGCCTCTTTTTTTCTCTATTTTTTCCCGAAGTCCTATTATCTGGATGTTGAAATTCCTACACTGGCCTACTGGTTTATGCATTTTTCCCCTCTCCTATTCTCTCTCTTCTTCTACTTGCTGGTTGATTTTTCTCAGCCTCATCTTCTAAACATTCAGTGGAGTTCTTCATTTCTGCTATCATGTTTTTGATGTCTACGAGCCTGTTTTTGGCCTACAAATGTTCCCTTTGTTATAGCATCCTCTTCCTATGAGTGCAACATCCTGTCTGACCTCAACGATGATATTAATGAGAGCTTTTTAAACTTCTCTTCTCCAGCGTGGTTTCTGTTTCTTCCAAGCTTCCTGTGTCTACTGGTTTGGACCTTGACTTACATATGAGAAACTGGACCTCAGGGCCGGGTGCAGTGGCTCACGCCTGTAATCCCAGCACTATGGGAGGCCGAGGCAGGTGAATCACCTGAGTTCAGGAGTTTGAGAGCAGCATGGACAACATGGTGAAACCCCATCTCTACTAAAAATACAAAAAATTAGCCGGGCTTGGTGGCGTGCACCTGTAATCCCCCCTACATGGGAGGCTGAGGCAGGAGAATCGCTTGAACCTGAGAGGCGGAGGTTGCAGTGAGCTGAGATTGTGCCATTACACTCCAGCCTGGGCAACAAGAGCAAAACTCCATCTCAAAAAAGAAAAAGAAAAAGAAACTGAACCCAAATGTCAGGGAAGCCTTGGTTCCAACCTTGTGACTATGAGTGAGAACAGAATTTCTGAGACTGTGGTGGACCTGGTTGACCCTGAGCTCAATGTAGGGTGAGGTAGGAGTGCGTTGGGGATCCCCTGAGTCAGTATCTTTGTGTCTTTCTCTCTCGCTGGCCAGATTCCCCAGGGAGAAGTTTTCCAGTCTTCTGCCTGGACAGTAAAGGTCAGCCTGGAGCCCCGGGGGGAACGGGGAAGTTCTAAGAATTCAGCACCTATTCAGACCCTTATCTTCCTATTTGGGATACAGGCCCCATGCCCTCAACTGTGCCTGTCGATCCCCTCTCCCAAGACCCTCTATATGTACCTTTGAACTGCTGCCTTCTGTTGGGGTCGAAGTGGACAGCCCCTGCCGCAGGAGACAGGGGAGGGGACCTGGGAGTCTTCCACCCTGTCCTTCTCATTTTGGTACCCTCCTTACCCCTCAGCTCCAGGGGCATCCCTTGCTGCCAGACACTATGCCTTTTGGGGGTTCTGTGGTACAGATGGCCAGGGGTCCCCAACTTTCCTCACTGCTCCATTAGGACTCAGCCTTAAGCCAGTGACCACTCATTCATCTGCTTTCTAGCTTCTAAAAGGTTAATGCTACGCTGGGCACGGTGGCTCACGCCTGTAATCCCAGCACTTTGGGAGGCGAAGATGGGCAGATAACTTGAGGGCAAGAGTTTGAGACCAGCCTGGCCAACATGATGAAACCCCATCCCAACTAAAAAAACACAAAAAGTAGCTGGGCATGGTGGCGCACGCCTGTAGTCTCAGCTACTGGGGAGGCTGAGGCACAAAAATCACTTGAACCCGGGAGGCAGAGGTTGCAGTGAGCTGAGATCACACCACTGCACTCCAGCCTGGGCAACAGAGTGAAACTCTACCTAAAAAAAAAAAAAAAGAGAACTTCATTTATTTACAAAAAAAGGTAGATGCAACCCAAGGGACATCATTTGTAGACAGACCCCTGATCTGGGGGAAAAAAATGCTAAAGTATTAAGAGCCGTTATCTCTTTGCTATATTTTAAAAAATGTTCTGCAATGATGTGTTATTTTCAATAAGAAAAAAGCTATTAATTTTGTAAGAGGAACACCCATGTATACATGTAGGTATACACACACACACACACCACACACACACATACACACAAAAGAATACTACTGAGCCATAAAAAATTATATATATATATACACCAAATTTTCTGTATCTAGTCATCTGTTGGTGGACACTTAGGTTGATTCCATATCTTTGCTACTGTGAATAGTGCTGTGATAACTATACAAGTACAGGTGTCTTTTGATATAATTATTTCTTTATTTTATTTTATTTTATTTTTCTGAGACTGCGTCTCACTCTGTCGCCCAGGCTGGAGAGCAGTGGCATAATCTCGGCTCTCTGCAACCTCCACCTCCCAGGTTCAAGCAATTTTCCTCCCTCAGCCTCCCGAGCAACTAGGGTTACAGGTGCCCGCCACCATG
This sequence comes from Homo sapiens, assembly GCF_000001405.40. Lineage (NCBI taxonomy): Eukaryota > Metazoa > Chordata > Mammalia > Primates > Hominidae > Homo > Homo sapiens. The sequence continues at coordinate 109,161,402 of NC_000012.12, read as the reverse complement.
TCCGGCTAAATTTTGTATTTTTAGTAGAGACGGGGTTTTACACGTTGGCCAGAGTGGTCTTGAACTCCTGACCTCAAGTGATCTGCCTGCCTCAGCCTCCCAAAGTGCTGGGATTACAGGCGTGAGACCCCACAACTGGACTCCTTGCTAATTTTATTTATTGTTTTCAACCAATCATGTTAAGATCCTCCCAATGAAAAGCGAATCTGACTGAGTGATTTCTTTTCCTTTGTGTACATACCCAGTAGTGGGATTGCTGGAGAGACTGGCAGATCTATTTTAGTTCCTTGAGAACTCTCCAAACTGTTTTCCACAGAGGTTGTACTAATCGACATTCCCACACACAGCCGCACCCCTCATTCTGTCCACGACCTTCCCTGACTGGCTGGCTTGATGGTTCAGCTTCAGAAAGTCTGAGACATCCCATTTCTACACACACAAACATTAAAACTCTAGCAATTTGACCTAAAGCACAACAAAGAAAAACTTCATTTGTGGCCTAGGGGGCAAAAAAACCATTCTTGGCCACCATGTTGATTTCGAAACTGGTGACAGAGCCCCTCCATCAGGCAGGCCACAAGCCCATTACCGCAGGCTAGGCAAGCGAACACACAAAGCTGCCGGACTGGCCTTGTTTCAGGCCCAATCTCCAGGCAAGTGGCTATTTTAATTCTTTTTGATAAAGCTGGAAGCCAACCAACATTGGCTCTAGAGAGCTGACCTTCGGCCAGCATTTGCTTCCACTGAAGGAGGATCATCCTAAGTGCCATTGTCCAGTGAGAAGCCCTGTCCTTATACAGCACGGCAAGGGTGAGAGCTGAAATGTTTCAAGGTGACTTTGGAAATGACTTCAGGTACAATCAACAGCAGAGGTGTCAGCCAAACACCAAATGCAGTCAGCTGCCGGAGCACAAGACCAGGCAGAATAGTATCAGGAATGGAGGAAATAAACATTCTCGGCTGCCCACTATGGACTGGGCACAGGGGGCCTCTCAGTGAATCTCCACAGCCCTGTATGGAGGAGTCTGTCATCTCCAGGTTCACGATGAGGAAACCGAGGTTCAGAGAGGACCATTTACCTCCAGTTTCACAGCTGGCAAGTGGCAGAGCCCCGTTTCAAATCCAACTCTAGCTGACCTCAGAATCTAACTTCTAGGCAGAAAGACAATCTGAGATAAATGGAAGCCCCTCTATTAACTGGACTTTTAAAACATGCATTACACATATGGCCTCTTATATTCCTCTCAAATAAGAGACAAACATGTATAATGCTGAGGTTTTTTGTTTGGTTGGTTGGTTTTTTTTTTTTTTTTGAGACAGAGTCTAGCTCTGTCACCCAGGCTGGAGTGAAGTGGCACCATCTCGGCTCACTGCAACCTCTGCCTCCCAGATTCAAGCGATTCTCCTGTCTCAGCCTCCCGAGTAGCTGGGACTATAGGTGCCTGCCACCATGCCTGGCTAATTTTTGTATTTTTAGTAGAAATGGGGTTTCACTATGTTGGCCAGGCTGGTCTCGAACTCCTGACCTCAGGTGATCTGCCCACCTTGGCCTCCCAAAGTGCTGGGATTACAGGGGTGAGCCACCGCGCCCAGCCCTGAGTGCTTAACTGGGGGAAATTTTGCTCCCCGGGGAGCAATACCTGGAGACATCTTTGATTGTCACAACTTGGGGGATGCGCTACTGGCATCTAGTGGGTGGAGACCAGGGATGCTGCTCAACACCCTGCAATGCACAGGACAGCCCCACAAAGAACTGGACAGCCCCAAGTGTCAACAGAGCCGCAGTTTAGAAACTCTGGTAGACTGCGGCCATCCTCCTAGGCTTTGAAGCCAGAATCTACCGCTTATAACCTGTGTAATCCTGGGAAAGTTACTTCAATACTCCCTGCCTCAGTTTCCTCACATGATGGAATTAACAGTTTATCCCTGGACCTAGCCAAAGTAAACAGCTTGCAACACTTTAGCTACCATGTACGTCTGCAGGATAGCATTACAGGAGCCCAGGCTGGGCCATTAGGCTAGGGCCCCGGCATTAATCAGACCTTCAATTTCTTCCCTCTCTTTTCTTCTATAAAATAGAGATGGTAACGGCTACCCGCACTGCTAAGAGCTGATTCTGAGCCAGGCAATTCTGTAATTACAACTACTTCCAAACAAGAAAGCAAGAAAGAACACTGTGTAGCCCAGTAAAGGTTGATATCGTTCAAACAGCACAAAACCACGCTCTCCAGAAATGGACCCTTGGAAATTTCTCAAGCCACCTGCCCCATCAGTACCCCCTGGGATGACTACCTTGGCTAGGCCAGGGGTGAGTGGGCAAACTAGGACCCATGGGTCAAATCCACTCGGCCACCTGTTTTTGTATCTCCCACAGGCTAAGAGCGGTTTTAACTTTTTAGATTGTTTTTTGTTTTGTTTCGTTTGTTTCGAAAGGGAGTCTTGCTCTGTCGCCCAGGCTGGAGTGCAGCGGTGTGATCTCAGCTCACTGCTACCTCCACCTCTCAGGTTCAAGTGATTCTCCTGCCTCAGCCTCCCGAGTAGCTGGGACTACAGATGTGTGCTACCACGCTCTGCTAATTTTTGTATTTTTATTAGAGACAGGGTTTTACCATGTTGGCCAGGCTGGTCTTGAACTCCTGACCTCAGGGCGATCTGCCCACCTTGGCCTCCCAAAGTGCTGGGACCACAAGTGTGAGCCACCGCACCCAGCCTTATTTGTTTTTTATAGAGACAGGGTCTCCCTCTGTTGCCAGGACTACAGTGCAGTGGTGCAAAAATAGTTCACTGCAGCCTCAAACTCCTGGGCTCAAGTGATCCTCCCACCTCAGCCTCCTGAGTAGCTGGGACTGCAGGTGTGCACCACCATGCCCAACTAATTGGTTTATTTTTGTAGAGACGGGGTTTCATCATGTTGCCCAGACTGGTCTCAAACTCCTCAAGCAACCCTCCTGTCTTGGTCTTCTAAAGTGCTGGGACTATAGACATAAGCCACCATGCCCAGCCAACATTTTTAAGTCATCGAAAAAAAAAAAAAAATCAAAAGAATCCTGTTTTGTGACACATAAAAATTATATGAACTTTGAATTTCCCCATCTATAAATAATGTCTGATTGAAACACAGCCAGGCCTGTTCAATTACATAACTATGGCTTCTGGTGCAGGAAACAGCAGAGTTGAGTAGTTACAACAGAGACCACATGGCCACAAAGCCAAAAATATTTACTGTCTGGCCGTTTATAATAGCAGTCTGCTGACCCCAAGCTAGGCACGAGTTTTCAACCCTGACATGAAAAACTTTATAAGATTCTGATGTCGGGGTCCCATCAGCATGTCTAGGGGGTAGAGGTGGGGTCCCCGGCATCCAGATTTTTCAAAAATCTCCCCACCAGGAAATTCTAATGTGTAGCCAAGAGTGAAAACCCCTGATAGGTCTACAGCCAATATTTGCATGCAGGCAGCTGGCCTTTCAGAGCAGAATTGCATGGCAGTGAAATGGGACTCATTAAAAAACAACTTCTGCCTCCTCATCCCCAACTTTATTTCAAGCCCTTCTGCACTCTGATCCACAATCATTTCTCTACTCTCTGAACTGTGACCCCGTTCTCATGCCATGAAAAATCAGTCATCATTTGCGACCTCACCTTCTCAGGAGTTCTGGCTTCTTAGATGGCCCGAGCCTTCAGCACAAGATCCCAAATGCCTCCCAACTCCAGAGGGCTCTTTCATAACCGAACTCTGTCTTTACTTATTAGTTTTCATCAATGTTTGTGCTGACCCAGGGCAGTACTCAAGACCAGCGACTTCCACACAGAGTCTCAACGGACCAAGAAAGAGCCGGGCATGGTGGCTCATGCCTGTAATCCCAGCACTTTGGGAAGCTGAGTTGTGAGGATTGCTTAGCTCAAGAGTTCAAGACCAGCCTGGGAAACATGGTGAAACCCTGTCTCTCTAAAAAATACAAAAATTAGCTGGGTGTGGTGGCGCATGCCTGTGGTCCCACTACTTGGAAGGCTGAGGTGAGAGGACTGCTTGAGCCCGGAGGCTGAGGCTGTAATGAGCCATGATCATGCCACTGTCTGGGCAACAGAGCAAGACCCTGTCTGTAATAATAATAATAATAATAATAATAACAACTCTAGAAAGGCCTATGAGGGCTAGTCCCTTGGACAGATGTGGAAACTGAGGTTCCAAGGCTTGATGGTACCTGCTCCAGAAGATCACACAGCTTGGTGGCAAAGTTAGATCGTCCAAATCCATCTTTTTAGCCACTCTAAGCTAAGAGAGGAACAATGTAGTCCCCCAACAAAGTATGTCCATATTATTATAAATAGGGGGACCCCACGTCCTGGACTTGCTGGGACAATTCCAAATTTGTGTGAGGTTTTTCTTTTTTTCCATTAAAGTGGTTTGTGAAATGGGTACAACACTCTCCACTTAGTGCCCCCACAGTGGTATTTTGAAGATGGCATGAGACCACACCTACAAAGCACTTGGCCTGGCATACTGAAAGCACCCCATGAGTGGTAGTGGCTATTACTGTTGCACCCATCAGCCTCGAATTGGAGTTACTGAGAAGACATCTGCCTTCCACAATGGAACCGAAGTTCCTGGAGGGCGGAGGTCACGGTTTCCAACCATTTTTGCGACCCTTCCTGCTACCAGTTGCAGGCCTTATGCATGGGAGGTGTGCATGAATGTTTATGGACCAGGTAAACATATCCTAAGAAAATAAAGGATGGAGGCAGAGATTCAGCTACAGGGGTATTCCTCACTGTGCTGTTGATAATAGCCCCCCCCCAAAAAAAAAAAAAAAAACAGAGAGAAACAGCCTGAATATCCGCTACTTATAGGGGATTACTTATACTTTTTTTTTAAGAGACAGGGTCTTGCTCTGTTGCCCAGGCTGGAGTGCAATAGCACAACCATTGCTCACTACAGCCTCGATCTCCCAGGCTCAAGCAATCCTCTTCCCTTAGTCTTTCCAGTAGCTGAAACTCCAGGCATGCATCACCATCCTCAGCTAATTTTTTTTTAAGTAGAGATGGGGGTCTCACTATGTTGCCCAAGCTGGTCTCGAACTCCCGAGTTCAAGCAGTTCTCCTGCCTTGGCCTCCCAAAGCGCTAGGATTACAGGCATGAGCCACCACACCTGGGCACATTTTTTTTCAGAGATGGGGTCTTGCTATGTTGCCCAGGCTAGAGTGCAGTGGCTGTTCACAGGAACGATCATAGCACACTGCAGCCTCCAACTCCTGGGCAAAAGCATCCTCCCTCCTCAGCCTCCTGAGTATTTGGGACTACAGGCTTGCACCACCCTGCCTGGCGAGGATTATTCATACATTTTAAGGTGCACCCATTTAAAGGAACACTATGAATCCAGTAAAAGCATGTTGTAGGCAGGGATTGGCAAACATTGTCTGTCAAGGGTCAGGCAGTAAGTACTTTAGATCTGGTCAGTCTCTGTCCCACCACTCAAATCCTCCAGTGAGGCACAAAAGCAGCCATGAACTAGGCATAAATCATAAATCGATGAGCAGGCTGCAGTCCAATAAAACTTTTTTCGTAGACACTGAAATTTGAATTTCATGTAATTTTCACGTGTCACAAAACAATCTTCTTTTGATTTTTTTTTCAATCACTTAAACATGAAAAAACCATTCTCTGCTTGCAGGCCATCCCAAAACAGGCAGTGGGTCATAGTTTGCCAAGCCCAGTGGTAGAAAAATACTTAATGTTGAATGAAAAAGTGAGTTACAGAACGTTCTGCATGATTCAAGTTTATAAATTAAAACATATCTGCACCGGAAAAAAAAAAAAGCTGAAGAATATACAACTGTTAACAAACATCACAGGGGTGGAATTATGGGTGATTTTTGTTCCTCTTTTTTGCTTATCTATAATTTTCTGAATTGTCAACAACAGACACACCATCAATTTGGTAATTCTTTTTAAGTGCAATAAAATGAGGACAAAAAAGGAAAGAAACAAAACCAAGTAGGTAGAGCTACAAAGCACTCAGGCACTGAGATGCCTACGCTCATCTGCTCAGAAAATGACCCTCAATGAGAGCCTGCTCAAGTTCACGTCGATTTGCCCAGGCTTCAGCTTCAAAAGAGACCTGCCTTCCACAACCATCAGCTTCTGGAGGCGAAGGAGAGAAAGCGGGGAAGGCGTGCCCCTGCGCAAGGGCTGATCTTTAGGCACCTGTGTGCTCCGAAGCGACCTCCTCCAAGCAACGTCACCCCCAACGTCCAGCCTCCTTCCTCCCCTCCCGCCAAGGCCAGCTAGAGTTTCCAAGGCGGGCATCATCTCCCCAGCAGCCAACTCAAGCCCGTGTTTCTTTGGATGGGGGTGGGGGTAAAGGGGGCGGTGCTAAGAGGACACACAGCTTGACTTCAAGGGGAAGGAAGACTGCGTAAGTTTGTAAAAGATCATGGTCATTACAATTGCAGGCTTACTTACTTTACTTCGCGATCAGGGAAACAGATCTTGCACTTGGCAGGACTCATGTTGACCACCCCGCAGGCCAATCCCACCGGGCTCCCGCAGGGGTGCAGAGCATGCACCCCTTAACCGCCTGAAGCCGACCCGAGGCCCGGGACCCAGCAGGACAGCCAGGTCGCGACCCGGAGGCCGAGATGCAGTCCTAGAGCGCCGCGGGCGGGGTTCTGCTGCAGCCGGCGGGCGCCCAACTTCGCGCTGCGCTTGCTCCATCCCGAAATGCACCCTGCGCGCCAGAGTCCCGGGCCATCGCGCCCGCCTAGGCCCCACCCAGGCCCCGCCCCCACACCGACCCCGCCCCAGGAGGGCCCCGCCTTCCGGACGGAGCCCCGCCCCCGGGCCGGCCTACCTCCGACCCGCCGCTGAGCTTCGGCAGCCGAAATGAGCTGCGGAGATATATATTTTTAAAGCCTCTCTTCTGCTTTGCTCCCCAATATGGGACACCCCTACATATTGGCAGCAATTGATATGCTTGAATACACACACGATAGGGAAGCGGTGGAAAATATGGGAAATTTAAAATGTGAGTCAGAGGTCGCCACTGTGCCCGTTAAAAGTCCCTGTTGTCAAGTCGACTTTTATTTCCCAAAGTCCTGGTTTCTCTCATCTTTTCACCTCCACTCCCTGGGACAGGTGGCTGCGCAATCACCCAGTGTGCTTCTAGCACGCACTTTGCACCACCTGGGTCCGCTACTGAAGCGAGTGCCTCCAGGACAGGGAGGACCCCAGCAGCCCGGTGATCCGAAATAAACTTCTGGTAAGACTAACATTTACTAAGTGCTCCTTTGTTCCTCTGTGTCACTTAATCCTCGTGGCAATCTTATTGTTTTTATCCCTATAATACAGATAAGGAAACTGGGGCCCAGAGATGCATGTTATCTGAAGTGCCAGAGCCCAGGGTCTTGAACTCAGACAAACCGATTCCAGTTAGAATAAACGAATGAGGCCGGGCCTGGTAGCTCATGCCTGTAATACCAGCACTTTGGGAGGCTGAGGCAGGCGCTTGAGGTCAGGAGTTTGAGGCCGGCCTGGCCAACATGGTGACACCCTGTCTCTACTAATAATACAAAAATTAGCCGGGCATGGTGGTGCACACCTGTAGTCCCAGCTACTCGAGAGACTGAGGAGAGAGAATCACTAAAACCCGAGAGGCGGAGGTTGAAGTGAGCCCAGATGGCGGTACTGCATTCCAGCCTGAGTGACAGAGTGAGACTCCATCTCAAAAAATCAAAAATAAATGAATGAATGCTTCTTCAAGTAATGTAATAAATGCAAAGAACCAAAACACTACCTAGAAGTCATCGCAGTAATAATAAAGGTAGCCTACTTTCATAGCCAACAAACCAACCAAAAATAATGTAAATGCTGGCCAGTAAATTCCCTTCTGGGTAATCACTCTGCGGTTCTCCCAGTGTACACATTAATTAAATTTGTGTGTCTTTTCTCCAACTAATCTGCCTTTTTACAAGTTAATTTTTCAGCGAAACTTCAGAGGGCAAAGCAGAAGATATTCCCTTGGTCCCTACAATCATTATGCATTCTATGCATGTAACAAAATTTTACATGTATCCTATAAATGTGTAAAAATATAATGTATCAGAATCATGAAAACAGGCCAGGCATGGTGGCTCATGCCTGTAATCCCAGCACTTTGGGGGGCCGAGGTGGGCAGATCACTTGAGGTCAGGAGTTCAAGACCAGCCTGGCCAACATGGTGAAATTTCGTCTCTACTAAAACTACAAAAATTAGCTGGGTGTGGTGGCGGGGTGGCCTGAAGTCCCAGCTACTCCAGAGGCTGAGGCAGGAGAATCACTTGAACCCACGAGGCAGAGGTTTAAGTGAGCCGAGATCAGGCCACTGCATTCCAGCCTGGGCAACATTGCAAGACTCTGTCTCAAAACAAACAAAAACATGAAAACAAATTTTAAAATACAATTAAAAATTCACTTCACAGGAAGGCCACGTGCAGTGGCTCACACCTGTAATCCCAGCACTTTGGGAGGCCGAGGCAGGCAGATCACTTGAGGCCAGCAGTTCAAGACCAACCTGACCAACATAGTGAAACCCCATCTCTACTAAAAATATGAAAATTAGCCAGCGTGGTGGTGCATACCTGTAATTCCAGCTACTCAGGAGGCTGAGGCGGGAAGATTACCTGAGCCCAGGTAGCTGAGGCTGCAGTGAGCCATGATCTCGCTACACTCCAGCCTGGGGAATAGAGCAAGACCCTTTCTCAAAAAAAAAAAAAAAAAAAAAAAAAGAAAGAAAGAAAGAAAAGGCACAGGCAGGGCCACACTTCCCGGGGGTGCCAAGTACTTGGCCACAACATAAACACCCTGGGCCCCTGTTTAAGCAGCCATGCCTGACAGCAGTGGATAGCTATGCCCTGACCATATATTAAATAACATTTCAACAACAGGTTTAAGAAAAAAAACAGATAAACAAAATTCTCAGTTCTTCAAGTTTCTGGGAAGGTGTTCACAGCCTTGTCTTCACCTCCTCCAAAAAAGTAACCCACTGTATCCTGATTTTTAGAGATTCAAACCAAAACCAACAAGTATTCATCCCCCAAATATCCCCAGTGTAAATGTAACCACCTCAAAATAGGGAAAGCAATGAAAATCAAGAAATGAAGATATTTCAAAATACCCCAACCCTACCAAAGTCAGTTAGGATCATGCAGAAGAGAACTGCTTGCCAGCATACTTGTATTGCTCTAGATTTTTATTCTCTATTGCAAAAACCCCAACACTACTTAAACACTGTATAGATATTCTCACTTCTCTGCTAATACAGCCTGAAAGACAGCCTCACACATCTCACTATGACCCAGGGTCTCAAATAAGGGATTTCATTTAGATGGGTGGGCTCATCATTTCATCACAGTGATCATGACCTTGCATTTTTCTCTAATTGCATTATTAGGGAATAGAAGACGGAAAGAAATGAATAATATTCAGTCGGTGCAAAACTAATTGCAGTTTCTGCCATTAAAAGGGATTGCAAAAACCACGATTACTTTTGCACCAACCTAATATCCACCTCCAAGCACAACACCACCTTTATACAAACATCCATTGTTGTGCTTTTTGATGAAACAGTTCAAGCATGGTGGTAGTTGCTGTCTCATGCATTAAGCCCTTCCTCTCAGACTTACTAGAAGCTCAATTTTACTTACTGGTATTGCAGAGGGAAAACCCAGGTCAATGAACAATACACACACAAAATCAACAAGAAAATCCGCATGCATGTGGCCAGCAGCGTGGTAGAAAGACTGTGCCATCCATGGGCTTGAACTTACCCTTCCCCTCACGGATGACCTTAAGTAAATCCCGTCTCTCCACTTCCTCAACTATAAAATTATCCACATACAATTTGCCTTCATTTTTGCAGAAAAGCAAAATGAAATAATCTCTTTCAATATATGGGGTGGGGGGGACTGTGTTACATTAAGTATAGAGCAGAAGTGAATAATTTTTCTAAAATAGGGCAATGATGCTTAAGGGGGAGGGGAATGTATGAATGGTTAGTTGCTCTGTACCTTGTATTAACTTAATACAAGAACAACTCAAAGACAGGGATCCTCTTTCCCCCAAGCTCCTAGAAAACATTTTAGGAGGCCGGGCGCAGTGGCTCACACCTGTAATCCCAGCACTTTGGGAGGCCAAGGAGGGCAGATCATGAGGTCAGGAGTTCAAGACCAGCCTGGACAACATGGTGAAACCCTGTCTCTATTAAAAATACAAAAATTAGCTGGGCATGGTGGTGCATGCCTGTAATCCCAGCTACTCGGGAGGCTGAGGCAGGAGAATTGCTTGAACCGGGACCCGGGCGGTAGAGGTTGCAGTGAGCTGAAATTGTGCCACTGCACTCCAGCCTGAGCTACAGAGCGAGACTCCGTCTCAAAAAAAAAAAAAAGAAAGAAAAAAGAAAAGAAAAGAAAAAAAGAAAAAGAAAAAGAAAAAGTAAACATTTTAGGAGCTAAAGAGACTTGAAAAGAGAGTTTCTCCCAGCCCCTTCCTAAGTCAATAAATGAATAAATTAAACATTACAGGAAGATCCTTGGCATTTCACTCAGGGGCGCATAAAAATATGCATAGACAATTTAGTTTCCTGACCTGTTCCTTGCTTGGAGCCGATAAGAGATGTGGGCTGGGATGACGAACAAGCAGCTGGGAGGCTGCACTGCAAGCCCACCCAGTCTGCTATCTGGGAAAGTGGGGGCGATGCCAGGTCCCTGGTGTCAGCTCCCTTTCCTGGTATTCCTTCACCTACCTTTGCCTGCAGGGCCCCCTCTGTATGTCCAGACCCCACAGAGCCTCATTTGCCTTCCTGGGATCCAAGGTCTGCCTTGCTAAACTGTTCTTACCTCAGTGATCCCAACATGGTCGTAAATGGTGGCGGGAAGGAACACTTCAGCACCCATCTGCTGTTTTGGACTTTATCCTTTTATCGGGACACTTCACCTGCCTTTTCAATCCTCTTCCTCCTCCGTGGACACAGGTTGCTACACCTTTAAGATGTAAGCCCGGCCAGGGCTTGGGAATAACCATGCGCACAGGCAAGAACTTTGGAAGAAGCCCACCCAACTAATGGCTACTGAACCACCTCTGGGCCGTCCACCCCCAGCACTTGCTCCCACTCGATCTCAACAATCTCCTAAAGTAGGCACTAGTATTATCCTGCCTCAACAGAGCAGGAAATTGCAGCTCAGACAGGTAACAGGAGAGGTCTGAATCCAGACCTGATTGTGGGTCCTGGGCTCTTATGCCGTGCACTGGATCTAATGACCATGATCGCACCATGGGTGCTGCTTCGAGTGCTGTACTTACAGCAACTCAATGAAGCCTGATCCCAACCCTGTGAGGGAGGTAACACGATGACTTCATTTCAGAGGAAACTGAGGCACAGAAAATCACAGAACTTGGCCCCAAGTCACATGATGGCTAGGTGGAGAAGCCAGCACACCAGCCCCCAGCCTCAGCCACCAGCGTGTTGTGCTCTTAACTATTCCACAGCTCTCTCTGTAAAAATGATGGGGAATGCCCTGGCCTGTGGGCTCTCAGACCCCTTGCCCTGGTCTCCCTAAGGACAGAGGCTGTATCTCACCATCTTTGCATCTGTAGTGCCAACTGACTGCCTGGCACCCAGAGGGGTTGCAATAACTGCTCCTGGGCCAACGAATGGATGGGACAAACCTTGACTTCCCCACCTACCATTTCATCCCTTAGTGTGTCCTCTCTCTTGCCTAGAACCCAGACTATCTGTGGTCATTTACCAGGGAGAAAATGGTTCTAAATTAACAATTTCCTTAAGAGAGATAGGGTCTTGCTCTGTTGCTCAGGCTGGGGTACACTGGCACAATCATAGCTCACTGCAGCCTCAAACTCCTGGGCTCAAACGATCCTCCCGCTTCAGCCTGCCTGTAAATTAACAAACTTTTCTGCCATTTTCCAGCTACTCTCCTTCTCTATCTCCCAGCCCCCTCCCTGCTGTCCATTCCTCCACATATAAAGGAACAAAGCCACCAACTGTTAGAGCCACAAAGAACCTCAGAGTGTCCAGTCTGGCCCCTGAGAAGGTAGATGATGTCCTCAAGCTCATACGACTTAAAGGTTATCCATAAACTACCCTAATCTCCCAACCCTTCCCACTAATAGAAAGAACAAGTTAGGAGGAGGACGGAGGTGCCCGTCCTGGAGTCCAAGCCTCTTACCCGCTGGGGGAAGGTTAGGCAGTGACACTAATACTAGCAGTTCGTTGACTGATTTCACATCCACATCTAACGAGGGTCTGGGTTCAAATGGTGCTCTGGGCCTCTGATTACCTTGCTGAGAGGCCTGGAATGTCTCTGGGCTTCAGCTTCCTATCTAGGAAGTGAGATGATTGGTTTACTCTTTCTCCCAATATTTTTATACTGTTTTATTATTATACATTGTTAAAATGCATTATAAAATGACATTTAGAGCAGAAAGTTAGAAAATGCAGAAGAAAATTTAAATCACTCATAATCATACCACATAAAATGATTATTTACTATTTGGAGACACTCTTTACAGTCCCTCTAAGACACACACATACAAACACATACGCATACACACACACACATTTATTAGGCACATTTACTAAGCAGAAGCATTTTTTGTGCTTACTATATGCCAGGAACTATTCTAAGCATGTTATATATAGTCCATAATCCCTTATCTGAAATTCCCAGGGCCTGATATGTTTTGGAACTTGGAAATTATTGTTTTTAGGAAGGTAAAACTTTCTGTTCCACATTATCATATTAATATTTCAGCAGCAGAATAGGATAAATAATTACTATACATAACCTCACATCAATTCAGGACAGGTTTTGCTGCCAAATGAGTTCACCACTAATTTATGAACTTCAATTTCATAGCTTTAAGTTTCAGGATTCCAGCTGCAATCTCAGCAATCCTGAACCTGTCCCATTCCATTCAGTCCACATGCGCACCCCACAGGGTCATACTAAGTCGGGGTACAAGCTAGGAAGAGGTAGCTTTGAACCTGAGTGTCTCATCATAGGCCCACTATGCACTACTAACCACATGCTGTTTGTCCAACAAAATGGGATCACACAGAACAGGAGGTTCTTGTAACCGTGCTCATTTCAGAGCATGTAAGCAGTGATTTTGCCACATCATGTAATGTTCTCATTAGCTCTGTTTCTAAGTGTTGCATGGGATTTCCAAACCTCAGGGACTGTTTCCAAGTCCAAGGAAAGGCCAAGTTCTAATCCCTGCCCTGAGATCAACCCAAAGGGGAGGAGATGGGAGGAGAGAGCTTAACGAGGTTGTTGGATTCATATTCTCAGCCAGCCCTTGCCAGCTGGGAGAAAGGAGAGAAAGGCTGAGTTTGCATGATCCTATCAAAGACAGAAGAAAAATTTAAAATTGGAGTTTCACCCCAGAACTAGTCTCCAAAGTCACAAGATACAAGGAGAAAGAATTTTATGAAAACAAAAATTTACTGCTGCTAAAGAGCAACAACTATAAAATGCCTATTCACCTGTTAATTAATTAATTAATCCATTCATTCATTCATCCATTCATTCATCCATTCGTTCATCCATTCCCACACTCATTCATCACATGTTTTACATTCCCCCGTAATGCAGAATTCTGTCTTTGGCAAGCTTGTTGCAGCTCATTTCATTCATGTATTTAGCAGATATTCAAAGCCTACCATGAGCCAGCACCAGCCTAGGCAGTGGGGAAAAACAGAGACCACTATAACTATGGCCCTGGCTTCACGGAACTTGCTTCCAGTGTAGGGAGACAGGTAATAACCAAGTAGATCATAAAAAAATAAAAGACGTAATCTTTTAGGAGCCGGTTGTGGAGGTTCACACCTGTAATCCCAGCACTTTGGGAGGCCGAGGTGGGTGGATTGCTTGAACTCAGGAGTTCAAGACCAGCCTAGCCAACATGGTGAAACCCAGTGTCTACTAAAAATACTAAAAAAAAAAAAAAAAAAAAAAAAGTAGCCAGACATGGTGATGCATGCCTGTAGTCCCAGCTTCTCAGGAGGCTGATGTGGGAGGATTTCTTGAGCCTGTGGGGTTGCAGTGAGCTGAGATCACACCACAGCACTCCAGCCTGGGTGACAGAGTGAAACTGTGTCAAAACAAACAAACAAACAAACAAACAAAAACAGACATAATCTCAAGAAATAATTAAATGTTGCAAAGACAACTAATCAGAGTGATTGATAAAGATACTGAAGGTAATTGGGGGGTAGATTTTTTAAATGTGAGAAAGGGACAGGGAAGGCCCTTTGAGGAAGTGACTCTGATGGGCAAAGAGCTAGCAGTAGAGGCAGGACCGGCTACAGAATTTGCAGGACCCAGTGCAAAATGAAAACACAGAGCCCCTTGTTGAAAAATTATTGTGAATTTGGGGCTGGGTGCAGTGGCTTATTCCTGTAATCCCAGTACTTTGGGAGGCCGAGGTGGGCAGATTGCTTGAGCTCATGAGATTCCGACCAGCCTGAGCAAAATGGCAAAACCTCATCTTTACCAAAAATAAAAAAATTAGCCAGCTGTGGTGGCACGTGCCTGTAGTCCCAGCTAGTCAGGAGGCTGAGACGGGAGGATCACTTGAGCCCAGGAAGTCAAAGCTGCAGTGAGCCATGACCATGCTACTGCACTCCAGCCTGGGTATCAGAGCAAGATCATGTCTCAAAAAACAAAATAAAAAAGAATCTCAAGACGGCGACAACAAAGCGTCAAAACAAGCACGGGGTCCCTTGAAGCACAGGGCATGCCTGTGAAGCTGGCCCTGGTGGGAGGTCTGGGTTCAGGGGTTGGGAGAAAGAGAGTGTTTCAGTTCAGAGGGAACCCAGTGCGAACTCCCAAAACAGGAACACAGTTGTGAGAACTCTGGGATGCTCTGGGCACTGCAGGAAGGAGACAGCCCCTTGAAGACTGCTTCAGAAAGAGCTTCCTCCCAAATCACAGACTTAACACAAGCATTTTCCATCCTTGCCTTGCCAGTCTCCCAGCTACTGGCCTGGCAGGAAGAGGTGAATGTAGGAAGTGGCCTTCCAGGGCAGAGCAGCAGTGAAGTGACTGCCCAAGGAAACTGCAGAGAGCAGAAGCAGATCCACAAATACAAGTCACTTCTTCACTGTGGCTTCCACGTGAGTCAGAACCCTCAAATAAATACCCCTGGCCTCTTCTCCCAGGCCTTAGTTGTTTGTCTTGGAAATGGGGCAAGGGTTGGATCCTGTCTGGAAGGACTAGCTTAAACCTCTAGCCCCTGCTTCCATTTTGCAGAAACAGGACCTCAAACGGTTAGAAGATTTGCCAGAGGATACAGATTATTTAGCAACTTATCAAGAAAAAATAATAATAATTTTTTTTTCGAGTCAGAGTCTCACTCTGTTGCCCAGGCTGGAGTGCAGTGGCGTGGTCTTGGCTCACTGCAACCTCTGCCTCCCAGGTTCAAGTGATTCTCCTAACTCAGCCTCCTGAAGAGCTGGGATTACAGGCACCTGCCACCACGCCCAGCTAATTTTTCTATTTTTTTTTTTTTTTAGTAGAGATGGGGTTTTGCCGTGTTGGCCAGGCTGGTCTCAAACTCCTGACCTTGTGATCCGCCCCCCTCGGCCTCCCAAAGTGCTGGGATTACAGGCATGACCTGCCGTGCCTGGCCTCAAGAAAAATAATATTTTTTTTCAGAAGGAGTTCCTGGATTCAGCTAACAGGGATTCTTGCTCACTGTATTTGCCTTTTTGGGTCAGGCTTCCTTTCCTCAGTGCTCCAGCTGGTTACAGGCAACTGGCTGGCTGGCCTGCATGCACCACCCTTAAATATAATTTATGCTTGTTCTCACTTATAAGTGGAGCTAAATAAAGTGTACACATGGACCTAAAGAGTAGAATAATAGATACTGGAGATTTGGAAAGGTGGCATGGTGGGAAGGGGTAAGGAATGACAAATTACCTAATAGATACAATGTACACTATGCAAGCAATGGCTCGTAAAAGCCCAGGCTTCACCACTGGGAATTATATCCAAGTGACAAAACTGAACTTGTACCCCCCAAATCTAAAAAATTAAAACAAAATTTTAATATATGGGAGGCCATGATTTTGAGCTGAGCTCCTGTGCTTAGCCCCTACAGACCAAACCAAAACGACGGATCACTCCTGGCCAACTGCCTCGCAATCAGTCTGAACTTTGAAACTGACCAGTTTTCCAAAAAACAATAGCAACCAATCAGAAGGGGTCCAGTGTACCTGAGCCAACATGATAAGAAAGTTGCATTTGTTTTAACCCTGAAGGGAAAGTCATTTTGAAACTATGAAGCGGGCCGGGCGCAGTGGCTCACGCCTGTAATCCCAGCACTTTGGGAGGCCTAGACAGGTGGATCACGACGTCAGGAGATGGAGACCAGCCTAGCTAATATGGTGAAACCCCATCTCTACTAAAAATATAAAAAATTAGCCAGGCATGGTGGCATGTGCCTGTAGTCCCAGATACTCAGGAGGCTGAAGCAGAAGAATCACTTGAACCCGGGAGGCAGAGGTTGCAGTGAGCCGAGATTGTGCCATTGCACTCCAGCCTCCAGCCTGGGTGACAGAGCAAGACTCTGTCTCAAAAAAAAAAAAAAAAAAGAAAGAAAGAAAGAAAAAGAAAAAGAAAGAAACTATGAAGCTCCCCTTTGTCCCTTGTTTCTGCTTTCTTCAGCCCTGTTCTGCCTATAAAGCCAAGCTCCTCTCTGCTCAGCTCTTCGGAAGACCCATTCTATTTTACAGAATGAGGTGCTGCATGATCCTAGAATTGTAAATAAAAGCCAATTCGAGTTTTAAATCAAATTTGCTGTGATTTTGTCTTTTGACACCACCTTCCATGGCCTACACCCAAAACTGCTTGGGTGTTGACCTGTGAACACCAGGGAAGAGGTATTACTACCCTGCCTGTATGTGTGCAAAAGAGTCAATGGGTAACCAGCAAACACCAGGCTACCACGGATCCCAAAGATGCCAAAATCCAAAGCCAAAAGCTCTACAAGATAATAAAATGCTCAGCCTCATTTTATTTATTTATTTATTTATTGAGACAGAGTCTCACTCTGTTGCCCATGCTGGAGTGTAGTGGCGTGATCTCAGCTCACTGCAACCTCCACCTCCTGAGTTCAGGCGATTCTCCCACTTCAGCCTCCTGAGTAGCTGGGACTACAGGCGTGCACCACCATGCCTGGCTAATTTTTTGTAGTTTAATAGAGATGGGGTTTCACCATGTTGCCCAGGCTGGTCTTGAACTCCTGAGCTCAGGCAATCCACCCACCTCAGCCTCCCAAAGTACTAGGATTACAGGTGTGAGCCACCTTACCTGGCCTCATTTTATTTTTTATTTTTATTTTTTGTAGAGACAGGGTCTCATTATGTTGCCCAGGCTGCTCTCAAACTTCTGGGCTCAAGGGATCCTCCCACCTCAGTCTCCCCAAACGCGTGAGTCACCATGCTGGACCTCAGCCTCATTTTGATATGCGTTGTTTCCAACAGGCTGGAACACCAGGTTTGGACATAATTTTTTCATCCAGTCAAACA
Organism: Homo sapiens; assembly: GCF_000001405.40. Lineage (NCBI taxonomy): Eukaryota > Metazoa > Chordata > Mammalia > Primates > Hominidae > Homo > Homo sapiens. The sequence goes on along the minus strand of NC_000012.12, from coordinate 109,143,818 downwards.
CCAGAGGCAGCAGGCACCAGCACACATGTCTAAGGCTTGACTCCCTGAAGATTCTTTGATGTGGGATTCTCACTACAGTTCATTAGAAACAACAAGCACACATGAGTCTTCTCTGTCAGAAGCCCCTGATTCTGGGGCTGGGAATGTTCCTTGAGGAAGTGCCAGTGTCTCAGGAGGTGCCAGCAGAACCACCCGCATTGCCCCTGGGTGCTAAAATTCTAAATTCTCAACTCTGAAAATGCACACATACCGGGGACAAAATAACTAACTGTATGTCAGTGAGCTTTAGGGCCACAGGTCACATCTCAGGAGTCTGGTGCAGCCTCCTCATTCATTTTTTTTTTTTTTTTTTTTTTGAGACAGGGTCTGCCTGTGTCACCCAGGCTGGGATGCAGTGGGGCAATCTCAGCTCACTGCAACCTCTGCCTCCTGGGCTTAAGTGATTCTCCCACCTCAGCCTCCCTAGTAGCTGGGACTATAGGTGCATACCACCACAACTGGCTAATTTTTATATTTTTTTGTAGAGATGAGGTTTTGCCATGTTGCCCAGGCTGGTCTTGAACTCCTGAGCTCAAGCAATCCACCCACCTCGGCCACCCAAAGTGCTGGAATTACAGGTATGAGCCATCAGGCCCAGCCTCAGCCTCCTCATTCTAAAGATGATAAATTGGAGACTCAGAGAGGGGAAGGGACTCACCCAAGTTCATGCAGCACATCACTCCTTCGTTCACCATATCATAGCCTTTGAATCGCCCACAATCCTACAATGTCATTCAGCTCCACATTCACTGCCTTTCCAAGATCCCTCTGTCCCTCCTGCCAGCTGTTTGCTGGGACAAAGTAAGGATAAAAGATTGATCTACAATGTTAGGTTTCTATGCCATGAAGACACGAGGGCAGGAAATTCACTCAACATTTTGGTTTCATTTTCCCTATGAAAGATAGTTAAGTAGGCTAGACGTGATGGCTCATGCCTGTAATTCCAGCACTTTGGGAGGCCAAGGCGGGTGGATCACTTGAGGTCAGGAGTTCAAGACCAGACTGGCCAACATGGTGAAACCCCGTCTCTACTAAAAATACAAAAATTAGCCAGGTGTGGTGGCACACGCCCATAATTCCAGCTACTTGGGAGGCTGAAGCAGGAGAATTGCTTGAACCCGGGAGGCAGAGGTTGCTGTGAGCCAAGATCATGCCACTGCACTCCAGCCTGGGTGACAGAGTGAGACTCTGTCCAAAAAAATAAAAAAAGAAGAAAGAAAGAGAAAGAGAGAGATAGTTTTCGCCTTTATAAATGTACCAGCTCAGAAAAACCTTGGTTTAAGCTCAAACCAGTAAAGACCCCTCAAAATGGTGGCAGGAAGACAGTGGGTGGAAAGGTGGGAGACTTGCCCCCCTTTCTATTTATTATCTACCAAATATGGATGCTTTATTCTCTTGCCAAGTACCTGAGAAATATTAGTTCATTTAATCTTCACGACTATTTTGGCATCCAAGACTCAGGAAATAGTAATAATAATAATCATGTTATAAGTTTGTTGGTTTGATACATTCTTTTTTGTTTTTTTATTTTGAGACAGAGTCTTGCTCTGTTGCCCAGGCTGGAGTGCAGTGGCACAATTATAGCTCACTATAACCACAAACTTCTGGGCTCAAGTGACCCTCCTGCTTCAGCCTCTCAAGTAGCTAGAACTATAGGTATGCACCACAATGTCTGGCAAATTCTTAATTTTTTTTTTAGAGATGAGGTCTCACTATATTGCCCAGGCTGGTCTTGAACTCCTGGCCTCAAGCGATCCTCCTGCCTCATCCTCCCAAAGTGCTGGAATTACAGGTGTGAGCCACCATGCCTGCCTACATTATCCCATTTAATCCCTTCCACATTTTACAGAGGTACTGGGGCCTGGAGAGGTGAAGGGTCATGCCCAAGGTCACACAGTAGGGGGTGGCAGAGCCAAAGACTGAACCCCACTCCAGCTGACTCCACAGACTGTGCTCTTTGTACTAGATTCTGAGACTTTCTCTTCCCTTAACCCTTCTAGAAACTCAAACACTCTTCCCCTGAAAAGTTTCAGTATATGGAATACTTTCCTCCTCCTTTTTCTCTGTCTTCTACTTCCAGCTACCAGGGTTAAAACCAAGCTCACTGCTAACATGGACATGTATGGAAGACCACCTCTAGATTTTTCTAATTTGGGAGAGAGTACAGGAGATGCTTAAAAGAATAGCCAGTAAAACTTCACTCCAGAGGAGAAAAACACACTAGAAGGAAGAAGTAGAACAATGAGAACAGAGGTTTCCCTCTGGCTGGTGAAGTTTTGGTTGGTGGCTCTTTTCTTCTCTCTGTTCTCCTATATTTCCCAAATTTTCTACCTGGAAGTGCTGTATTCCATTTGTAATTTGGGGATGGCAGAGGAGAAGGTGGATAACAACAACATCAACAACAAAGCCACTGACTGCAGCCGCTGGGATAGTCCCACCTGTTATGAACCTACAGGCATTCATTTCCAACAATCAAATTGATGGAGACCTTTAGAGTGTTTGAGTTTCTGCTTTTCAGGCATCACTGGGGGAAGGCTGGTTTTTCAGTTGTCAGTTACCTGCTGAATGAATGAATGAATGAATGGGCTGGGTGTGGTGGCTCATGCCTGTAATCCCAGCACTTTGGGAGACCGAGGATCGCTTGAGTCCAGGAGTTGGAGACCAGCCTGGGCAATATGGTGAGATTCCCATTTCTATAAAAAATTTAAAAATTAGCTAGGTGTGGTGGTGCACACCTGTAGTCCCAGCTACCCAGGAGTGCACTGAGGTGGGAGGATTGCTTGAGCCCGGGAGTTTGAGGTTGTAGTGAGCTATGATCCTACCAGTACACTCAGCTAACAGAGTGACAGAGTAAGACCCTGTCTCAAAAAAAAAAAAAAAAAAAAAAAAGAATGAATGAATCAATGTCTCTTCAGGAGGCAGAGAGAACTGCCCCTCCCTCTAGACTACCATCATCACTTGTGGCTCTTGCCAGCCTTGGCTCATTCAGCTTAAATTATAACTAAACACAAGGTCATCTTCCCCAACTAGGCTGAGGTCTTCTAGAAAGTCAGTTTCATGGCATCGAGCCCTGTGCATGCAGTAGATGCACAAGGAATGATTTCTTTCCTTTTTTCCTTTTTTGAGACAAGGTCTCGCCCTGTCACCCAGGCTGGAGTGCAGTGACGTGATCTCAGCTCACTGCAACCTCCACTTCCTGGGTTCAAGAGATTCTCCCGCCTCAGCCTTCCAAGCAGCTGGGATTACAGGCACACGCCTGCATGCCTGGTGAATTTTTGTATTTTTAGTAGAAACGGAGTTTCACCATGTTGGCCAGGCTAGTCTTAAACTCCCGACCTCAAGTGATCTGCCTGCCTTGGCCTCCCAAAGTGCTGGGATTACAGGCATGAGCCACTGTGCCCAGCCTCAAGGAATGATTTTGAAAGGAGGGAAGGAAGGAAGGAAGGAAGGAAGGAAGGAAGGAAGGAAGGAAGGAAGGAAGGAAGGAAGGAAGGAAGGAAGGAAGGAAAGAAGGAAGGAAGGATGGAAGGAAGGAAGGAAGGAAGGAAGGAAGGAAGGAAGGAAACTTCTGAGAAGGCTCGTGTCTTCTCCTTTTGTGCATAGCCACCCTTGAAGCTTTGGCATCAGCAAACAGCTTGATCAAGGTGGGCACAGGTTGGGAAGGGTGTGGACCCCACCTGAACTCTGCACTCCTCAGTTACAAGGAGAAAATGCACATTACCTCATAGTGGGGACGCGGGTCTCAGCTTCACCTGTGGTCAGATAAGCCTCCAGGGACAGGGCCCCCAAGCTGGCCCGGCTGCCCTTCCGGGTAGACTCACGAGATGAGCCAGCAACAGAGTCCTCGTCGGAGGAGTAGTCATCAAAAGAGCCCAGGATGAAGTTGGTCATCAGCTGCCTCTTGATGTTTGCCTGCTTCTTGTCTTCTTTGGAGGGGGAGCCAGCTTGCTGGCCCTGGGGCCTGGCTGAGGAGGACAGGCCATTGGTATCTGTGGCCTCCAGACCTTGTGTCCCAGTCCCGTTGGCTTGAAGCTCTGGGGAGGGTGCTGCGTCACTGGAAGAAAGGGGGTTTCTTGGGGGCTTCTGGTGGGAGGGTGGTAGGGAGTTTCTCCGCCGACCGGCATCTTTGGGGCCTTTGTGGGAGGCTGGCTCGGCCTGGCTGGGTGTCTTGGGCAGAGTGTGGCCCTCCCCATTTCTCTGCGGTGTCTCCCCTGAGTTATCAGAGGCTGGAAAGGGCTCCTGGCTCGGGATGAGGTTTGCTTCTGATTTACTCTTGGTGATCGGCTTGGAGTCCGTCATTTTCCCCCAGATTTTTAACCAGGAAAAGGTCAGACAGGAGAAAATCAGACAAGATAGACAAAGAAGCAAGACCATTCAGAAAATCTGTAAGGAGAAAAGGAGAGACATTTTAGGATTTACATAATCAAGTGATTTCTCTCCTAAAGAAGCTAGTGGGGCAGGAGGCTGTTGGGGTGCTGTGTATTCCTGAAATACTGGACGAGGGGAGAGATGGGGTTCTCCTCCCTGCTCTGCCTGAAACAGGCTTGGACATATTCCTTCACCCCTCTGGATCTTAGTTTCCTGCCAAGGTTCAAGGAAGAACCTTGAAAACTGCTAAGTTAAAGAAGCCAATCACAAAAGGTCACATATTATACGATTCCAAGTATATGAAGTGTGCAGAACAGGCCAATCTTGAGAGACAGAAAACAGATTAGTGGTTGCCAGGACCTAGTGGGATGGGGATGATGGCTACAGAGTGTAGGGTTTCTGTTTGGGATGATGAAAATGTTCTAAAGCAGATTGAGGTGATGGTTGTACAGCTCTGTGAATACAGTTAAAAAACATTGACTTGTCCTTTACATGAGTGGATTGTATGCCATGTGAATTATCTCTCAATAAAGCTGGGGTTTTTTTGTTTTTTTGTTTTGAGATGCAGTCTCCCTTTGTTGCCCAGGCTGGAGTGCAGTGCCGCAATCTCTGCTCACTGCAAACTCCGCCTCCTGGGTTCAAGCAATTCTGCCTCAGCCTCCTGAGTAGCTTGGGCTACAGGCATGCACCACCATGCCTAGCTAATTTTTGTATTTTTGTGGAGACAGAATTTCACCATGTTGACCAGGTTGCTCTCTAACTCCTGACCTTGGCTTCCCAAAGTGCTAGGATTACAGACGTGACCCACCGCGCCCAGCCAAAGCTGTTATTTTTTTTTTTTAAAGACTCTTAATTATATTCCACTTTATAAATGAAAGGGAATTGTTGCTTCTGTCATCATCATCATCATTCTAGTATTATTATCATATAGTCAGTCACCATCATGGCCCTGGAGGGAGGAAGGGCGCCATCATCCCCAGTGTGGGGTATGCTTACAACTAGCATAGAAGCCCAACAAGCCTCGGGAGACTGTTTTCTGTTGCAGGGTCTAGACCAGTGCCTGGTATGCAATGAGGGCTTACAAGTGTGTATTGAAAGAATGAACCCAGGTATTCCAATCTCTAAGCCACACCTCTTTCTATCACCCTAACTCTGCCCTACTAATGAGTAGATCATTGTTATTTGAAGGAAATCTTGTTTTAAAAATGAGCCCAGTGCGGTGGCTCATGCCTGTAATCCCAGCACTTTGGGAGGCTGAGGCGGGCAGATCACCTGAGGTTGGGAGTTTGAGACCAGCCTGGCCAACATGGTGAAGCCCTGTCTGTACTAAAAATAAAAATACAAAAATTAGCTGGGCATGGAGGTGGGTGCCTGTAATTCCAGCTACTCGGGAGTCTGAGGCATGAGAATCACTTGAACCTGGAGGTGGAGGTTGCAGTGAGCTGAGATCATGCAACTGCATTCCAGCCCGGGCAACAGAGTGAGACTTGGTCTCAAAAACAAAAAAAAAAAGAAAAAGAAAAGAAAAGCCCAGGAGGCAGAGGTTGAAATGAGCTAAGATGGCACCACTGCACTCCAGCCTGGACAACAGAGTGAGACCCTATTTCAAAAAAAATTTTTAAATGGGACCTCTCTCTATGTGTTGAAATTTCTGAACCAATTTTGCCACAATTATATACTAGAAGCATTACAAAAGTGGACCACAAAGCTCAGCAGGTCAATTTGGTATCTAAAAATCCTTTTTTTTTTTTTGAGTCAGAATCTGACCCTGTCGCCCAGGTGGGAGCATAGTGGCGTAATCTCAGCTCACTGCAACCTCTGCCTCCTGGGTTCAAGAGATTCTTGAGCCTCAGCCTCCCTAGTAGCTGGGATTACAGGTGCCCCCCACCATGCCCGGCTAATTTTTGTATTTTTTGTAAAGATGGGGTTTCACCATGTTGGCTAGGCTGGTGTCTAACTCCTGACCTCAAGTGATCCGCCCACCTCTGCCTCCCAAAGTGCTAGGATTACAGGCGTGAGACACTGTGCCCTGCCATAAAGCTTTTTCTTTTTAAATTTCAACACAATGTTTTTAAAGGAAGTGGAAAAGTTCTCAATATTTCCCAGAACTAAACAATCCAAGTACTTCTTACACACTTTCAGCAGCAGAATTTGCTGATATGTTGCCAAGGCTATTTTCTAGGTAGTACACAGGGTCAGAGGGGTTTTTTCCTTTCAAGATCATCATGTGTTTTTTTTAAAGAAAAGTCAGTCAAGGGTGGCTCAATGTCAATGTAACATGCCACATTAATGGAACAAAGGGAAAAAAACCACATGATCATCCCAATTGATGCAGGAAAAGCATTTGACAAAATCCAACACCCTTTCATGATAACAACATTCAGAAAATTAGGAACAGAAGGGAACTGCAACTTAATAAAGTACATTTATGAAAAATCCACAGCTAACATCATACTAAATGGGGAAAGGCTGATAGCTTTAACCAGGAATAAGACAAGGATGCCCACTTTCACCAGTGCTATTCAACACTGTACTGGAAGTTCTAGACAAACCAATTAGACAATAAAATGAAATAAAAGACATAGAGATTAGGAAGGAAGAAGTAAAGCCACCCCTATTCACAGATTACATGGTCCTATATGTAGAAAGTGCCAGATAATACACACACAGAAAACCTTGGTATTGTAGAGGTAATAAAAATAATTAAGCAAAGTTGCAGGATACAAGATAAATACACAAAAATAGTTGTGTTTCTATACACCAGTGGTAAATAATCTGAAAAAGAAATTAAGAAAACAATTCCATTTATAATAGCATTCAAAAGAATAAAACACCTAGAAATAAATATGTTTAATTTCAATGTTTCCTTTTTCTATTATTGCCTATCACACTTGTTTCCTACCTAGGAATAAATTTAACCAAAGAAGTGAAAGACCTGCACACTGAAAACTACAAAACATTACTAAAAGAAATTAAAGAAGAATTAAATAAATGGAAAGACATACCTTGCTCATGGATTGGAAGACTTATTGTTAAGATGTCCATATTATCCAAAGGAATATACAGATTTATATGGAATTTCAAGAGGCCCCAATCAGCCAAAACAATCTTAAAAAATATGTTTGAAGATTCACATTTCCCAATTTAAAAACTTACTACAAAGCTATGGTAAACAAAACAGCATGGTATTTGGCATAAGATAGACATATAGATCAATGGAATAGAAACCTATACATCTATGGTCAATCTATTTTTGACATGGATATCAAGACCATCCAATGGAGAAAGAATGATCTCTTCAGGCCAGGCATGGTGGCTCATGCCTGTAATCCCAGCACTTTGGGAGGCTGAAGCAGGTGGATCACGAGGTCAGGAGATCAAGACTATCCTGGCTAACATGGTGAAACCCCATCTCTACTAAAAATACAAAAAAATTTAGCCAGGCATGGTGGCAGGCACCTGTAGTCCCAGCTACTTGGGAGACTGAGGAAGGAGAATGGCGTGAACCCGGGAGGCAGAGCTTGCAGTGAGCCGAGATCGCACCACTGCACTCCAGCCTGGGCGACAGAGCAAGACTCCGTCTCAAAAAAAAAAAAAAAAAAAGTATTACCTCTTTAACACCACATGGTGCTGGAACAACTGGATTTCCACATGCACAAGAATAAAAAGTTGGACCCCTACTTCATACCACATACAATCATTAACTCAAAATGGATCAAAGACCTAAATATAAAAGCTAAAACCACAAACCTCTTAGAAGAAAACATAGAAGTAATTCATCATGACCTTGGATTTGTCAATTGATTCTTAGATATGACACCACAAGCATTGGATGCTTCTTGATGAAGTCCAATTTACCATAAGAAAAAATAGGTAAATTGGACTTCATCAAGATTAAAAGCTTTCGTGAATCATAGGATGCTATCAAGAAAGTGAAAAGATAACCTACAGAATGGGAGGACCACTTGCAAACCATATATCTAATAAGAGTCTAGTGCCCAGAATGTATAAAGAACTCCTAAAACTCAACAACAAAAAGACAACCCAATTTTTAAGTGGACAAAAGACTCGGATAGACATTGCTCCAATGAAGATATACAAATGGTCAATAAATAGATGAAAAGATATTCAACATGCTTAGGTGTCAGGAAAATGCAAATCATATAATCACAGTGAGATACCACTTCACATGCACTGGGATGGCTATAACCCAAAAGAGAGAGAGAGAGAATAACAAGTGTTGGTGAAGAGGTACAGAAATTGGAACTCTTAACCATTGCCAGTAGGAATTTAAAATGTTGTAGCCGTTGTGGAAAAAAGTCTGGTGGTTCCTTAAAAAGTTGAACATAGAATTATCATATGATCCAGCAATCTCACTCCTAGGTATATCCCAAAAGAATTGAAAACAACGACTCAAACAAATACATAGCAGTACTATGGGTATCTTTCTGATGCCCAAGCCTTGTTCTTACCCCAGGATTTCTCAACCATGGCACTACTGATATTTAGGGTTGGAAAATTCTTTGTGGTGGGGGCTGTCCTGTGCATTATAGTATGTAGAGCAACACCCTTGACCTCTGCCTGTTTGATGCCAGTAGCATCTACCTCCATCAGCTGGGACAACCAAAACATCTCCAGACATTGACAAATGTCCCATGGGAGGCAAAACTGCCCTTTGGTTGTGAATCTCTGGTCTCAACTCCTCTGCCTAGTCCTTGCCTTCCCGTCTCCTTTTGCCTCTGAATGGTGAGCTAGGAACCTCTGGGGACAAAGTCTATTTCATACTATTACTATTTCTCTTGTGCATAGTAAATTCTCAAGAAAATCTTTAAAATTGTCTGCAAGAAAGGTCCGAGTCCTGAAACAGCTGGCTCACACATGCCCTCAGGAAAAATTTTGAAATTAACAACAGCCAGAGAACATTGCCAAAAATGTTGCAAAAGCTATCCCGGCTTCCCCAGAGGCCCAACAGATTAAATCCTACATCCTCCCCAGGAAAGGAGGGCATACGGGGCCCTCTAAACCTGACCCCTGCTGAATGGCCACTCCCTCTCATGCCCTCTGCTGGCCACAGTGGCCAAATGCTTTAGAAATTCGGCAGTCCACTCCCTTGGGGCTCTTTGCCCAGTCCATCCTGGCCTGGGAGGCCTGGGTACAGACTTCCATCATGATGACACAGAAAACATGGCATGGAAGTGGCTTGTTCGGTTGTCTGTTCTCCCTGACCGACTGGGTGGTGCTTGGGGACATAGACCAAGTGTCATTCATTTTGGATCCTTGTACCCAGCTTGGTGCTTGGCACAGAGTAAGAGCTCAAAAACTGTGTGTAAGCTGGGGGCAATGGCTACGTCTGTAATCCCAACACTTTGGGAGGCCAAGGCGGGAGGCTCACTTGAGCCTGGGACATCAAGACTACAGTGAGCCATGATGGCACCAATGCACTCCAGCCTGGGCAACCAAGTGAGATCCTGTCTCAAAAAAACAAAACAAAACAAATGAAAAAAAAAAAACCTGTGTGCTGAAAAAATGAAAAAAAAAAAAAAAAAAATATATATATATATATATATATATATATGCACACACATTGAGCACCAACCAATGTCTTGAACCAAGCTGGAATTTTGATTTTTAAAGTTTTCATTTCTGAAACTGCATTCAGGAACACCAAGAGAATGAGCCAAGTATCTCCATGACAGTTTTGAAAGAAAGGGCTGAAGAGAACAACTCATACAAATGCGACCAATCTTAGGCAAATTTTAAATGTGTGCATTTGAAATTGTGAGATATAAGAAACAGCAGGTGCATAAAATTGATAGGGTGGGCATCCCTCTACCCCAGTTAAAAAATACTTGAATTATTGCTTAGAAAAGTGCAGCATCAAGGCCAGGCACGGTGGCTCATGCCTGTAACCCCAGCACTTTCAGAGGCCAAGGTGGGCAGATCTCTTGAGCTCAGGAGTTTACAACCTGCCTGGGCAACATGGCGAAACCCCGTCTCCACAAAAAATATAAAAATTAGCCATGGGCAGTGGTGTGTGCCTGTAGTCCCAGGTACTCAGGAGGCTGAGGCAGGAGAATTGCTTGAGCTCAGGAGGGGGAGGTTGCAGTGAGCCAAGATCACGCCACTGCACTCCAGCCTGGGCAACGAGAGAGAGAGAGAGAGAGAGAGAGAAAGAGAAGTGCAGCATAAAGACAAAAGTGTGCTACAATGGTTGTGAATTATGAGGTGTGAGAATACATTGTTTACATTGATTCCTGTTGGAAAGCCAATCAAATTATGCAAGTTTTACATGATATAAGTTCTTCAGGAACTTGCTTAGAAAATCCTGGCTGGCTGGACAAATGGATGGCTGATTAACTACGGATAGAAGGATGAGTAGGTGGTGTGTGGAGAGAGAAGGTGAGTGGATGAGTCAATGGGCAAGATGGTTAGACACACGCACGGCAGGTGATAGAGGGATGGCAGGTAAAGCTGCAAGTTGTACAGCGGAGGCTCTGACGAATGCAGTGGCCAGCTCTTCTCCCCAGTTCAGCCCTTCTCTCACTCTGCAAATCCTTTACAATCTGTTATTCTGTTGGATCTAATCCCCCAAACCTTCCTTGCCAGGGTTACCTACATGAAAAACCTCACAGCCTTTCCCTTTTCTTTGCGGAATAATGACGTGGGACCCAAAGGTCACCCCACACAAGAACTTTTCCCAAGTGAATACACAGAGACAAATCGGAGGACTGTTTGAGAAAGCTACAGAAGAAACTCTCTGAGCCTCAGTTTCCTCATCTATAAAATGGGGATACGAATTCTCACCCCATTCACCTCACTGCTGCTCTCTGCATAACATCTGTACCTATATAGCAACCACACATACAAGCCATCAAATTTGTGGAGTGTCTTCAAGCTCCCAAGACCCTCACCACCACCTCCCTCCAATCCTTAAAACACCTCCATGGGACCGGGCGTGATGGCTCACACCTGTAATCCCAGCACTTTGGGAGGCTGAGGCAGGTGGATCACCTGAAGTCAGAAGTTTGAGACCAGCCTGGCCAACAAGGTGAAACCTCATTCTACTAAAAAATACAAAAATTAGCTGGGCGTGGTGGTGCACGCCTGTAATCCCAGCTACTTGGGAGGCTGAGGCAGGAGAATCACCTAAACCCAGGAGGCAGAGGTTGCAGTGAGCTGAGATCATACCACTGCACTCCAGCCTGGGTGACAGAGTGAGACTCCATCTCAAAAAAAAAAAGGAACAACCCAATGGATGTTATTATTGTCATTGTCACTATTTGACTTCCATTTTACAGCTTGGTAAACTGTGGATCAGTAACTTTCCCTTGCTCATACCTTTTCCACTGTCCCACCACTGCAGTGGAGATAAGTAAATTCCATAAGGCAGCAGGTGGTACAAGGAGTGCGTAGATATGATCCTAAAAACAGACAGACACCTGGCTGTGTACCTTTAAGACACAGCCGCAGATCGACATGCAAACTAACGGTGCCAGACGGTGGCGTGGGGGGGCCGTGGTCAAGAATGAGCACCGATCACGCAGTTTGATTCCATGAGCAGGGAAGGCCAGACGAGCCCTTCCAGTGAACCTCTGTGGACGCTATCATGACAAGCTGCTGCCCTTCGCTGAAATAACCCAGCGGACCCGAAAACCAGATGCCAGACAAAGCTATTTTTATGTCTTGCAAACCTAACCCAAGCAACAGCTGCCTGTTGAAAGAGTGATCGTGGCCTTCACCACAATGAACACGAGAAACTGCTCAGTCCTGGTAAGTGCTGGCCAGTCACCAGGCAAGGGCAGGGCAAGGACGGGAGTCAGGAGTCTGTTTTCCAGTCCCTCCACAACCCACAGCACACTCATCCCCATGCCTGGTGAGGTTTTTAAAGGACAGAGGGGACAGAATGTCAGCATCCAGCAATCCCCATCCATGCTTGGATTTTTCCTCCCACCAAGATTAACTCCCCAGCACTTGTTGCCACTTACCGTCACTGGGGATGCAGCCACCAGCTCCATTCTTGAGTGAGGCTGACAGGCGCCCACAGGGTGACTAAGGGAACCCAGCTGGCAGAGTGTCACCTTTCAGCGGGAGGCTGGTGGCGTGCATCAGGCCATGGGGGTGGGGCTTGGACCGGCCAGCACTCCGACATGGGTGAGCGTTCCCCCAAGTTGGCAGTGCAGCATGCCTTTATCTGTCACCCATAAATTTAAGCCATTTCAAAGGTCCTCACTCAGCCTTCTCCTGACCTCAAGCTTAGGTAGTTAAGAGGCTATCTGTGCTCCCAGGGGCTTCGTGGGCTTGAGGACCACCTCCCTCCAGCTTGCCACATTTCTGTACTTAGCCCTACTTCACTGCTCATGCAATTGCCCTCTTGCCCAACTCTCCATCTCTGGTACAGGCTTTAAACAGTCCTGTAATCACAACAGCCCTGGGTAGACAGGAAAACAGCATCGACAGATGTTCCAAGGGGTTCATCTGTCAGACGCCTGTCCAGAAGGGAGGGTGAGACTCAGCACAACTTGTGTTTGGCTATACTGGGCACGAATGGCCAGCTGGACACACAGGTCAGCCCAGGCAGGAAAGAGAAGCAACAGTATCGGGACAAAGAGGGGGTGGTCAGGGGCCCTTCAGCAAGTGGCGCAATGTCCTTTTGCAAATTCAGAGATAATTAAACTGATGGGGACAGGCCAAGTGTGGCTGCTGGGGCGTAAGAGGCTGACTGGTGGACACCTTCACCTGCACTCGGCCTGTAGATCTGGGGTGTCACAGATCAGAGTGTTTCTCAAAAGCCACCTGCTGCAACCTACAGCTGAATGCGGGGAAGCACAGGGATCATCGAGTCCAGTGTGCTTGTGTTGTAGATGAGCAAATGGTGGCCAGGAGGTCACATGTGCAATTAGCCACAGAGCCAAAGACTGGGACCAACCAAGATCCCCGGCTCCAGGCCAGTTCTTCCGCTATATTGAGGCATGATTGGCGGCCAAAGTCAACTGTCACCGGGCACCTTGTTTGGTCCCCTGGAAACTGACCTGGGTTCACATGTCGGTTCTGCCACTTACAAGCTGGGGAAGCCTTGGGCAAGTTAAATGCCCTCCCTGATCATCAGTCTCCTCATCTGCAAAATGGGGATAAGGATGGTACCTACATCATTGCTGGGCTGTTAAGAGTTCAATGAGTTCATCCCCCCTGGGGCACTGAGTGCAGTGCTGGATGCAGTTGGGCTGTACACATCTGAGCCATCAGCATTCACCATCTCCACTCAGAGCACCATGGGCAGTGTGAGCCACCGCTCCAGGACTCTGCCACCAATGGACAGTGTGATCTTGAACAAATCACCTCCCCTCTCCAAACCTCAGTGTCCCCATCTAGAAAAGGGGGCAAAATACCCAGCCTCGCCTACCTCACCTGCCTTATTGTGAGAATCAACCAAGATTCATGTAGTCACTCAACACCAAATAGAGCCTTCCCCTTCCTGCTGCACCAAACAGAAAGAACCAGGCAGGTGATAGTGATGGCGGCTTCTGCTGTGAGCATCTTCCTCCACTCATGGACAGAAAGGATTCACATTTGGTTCACAGCACCTGTCAGTCCTGGTCAGGTGTCAGAGCCACTCTCTAAGGATCGGCCAGCCCAGGCAGGACAGGCAGATCCCCCCATCAAGGACAGCTTCCCAGGCCTGCAGCCTAGAACTGCTTTTGGGGGGCAGAGGGGATGGTGCCCTGCAGGGGCAGGCATTTTTCCAAAGGGGAAAGTCTCTGGGCTTTCAGCAGCATGGACCAGGCTGAATTAACATCCTATCTGTTCCCTGATCCAGTGAGGATGCTCCTAAGGACTCTGGGTGTGTTTGGGGGCCCAGGGAGACCATTTTTTCAGTTATTTCAACAGAGGATTATTTTTTTAATGCCCACATAGGGGTTGAAGAAGGGAAGAAAGGAAATGTTAGGGAGTGTTGCAGGGAAGAGGAAGTGATTCCTAATAAGTCGCGACAAGTGTTTTTCTGTGTCACTGGCATGTGTGTGGCCTATGACAGCCACTGTGCTAAGAGCTTTACATGCAGGGTCCTGCTCCTTTCACAGGCGAGAAAACCGAGGCTCAGTCACTCTCTAAGCCCACACTTTAAGACCCACGTGGCCTCACTTTGGAGCCTGAGCTCCTAATTCTCACACTCTCCTGCTCTACATGCAGAATTTCTGTCCACAAACTCTAGAAAAGGTCCTAAGTGATGGTCACGGTCACTACCTTGTTTTTTAGAGTTGTGGGCTTGTTTTTAAATCTGTATCCATTCTTTTTTATTTATTTATTTATTTTTTTCGAGACAGGGTCTTGCTTTGTCACCCAGGCTGGCCTCAAGTGATCCTCCCACTTTGGCCTCCCAAAGTGTTGGGATTACAGGCCTGAGCCACTGTGCCTGGCCTGTGTCCAGGCCACAAATAAATAAGCAATGTTTATTTGTCAATTAATAATTTATTAAGTTGACCAGACACAGTGGCTCATGCCTATAATTCCAGCACTTCAGGAGGCCAAAGTGGGAGGATTGTTTGCGCCCAGCAGTTCAGGACCAGCCTGGGTAACATAGCGAGACCCTGTCTCAGAAAACAAATTAATTAATTAAATTGGGAAAAAAAAGTCCATCTATTATTGCTTTAAAAAAAAAAAAAAGAAAGCAACAAAAGTACTTCTGTAGACTTTGGGTTCTTCTTGGAAAGACTTTTGGGGAGATAGCTATGTTCTGCCCAAATAAAGAAAAACTTTTAAAATTAAAATCTAATTACTGACTGGGTGCAGTGGCTCACGCCCGTAATCCCAGCACTTTGGGAGGCTGAGGGGGGCAGATCACTTGAGTTCGGGAGTTCGAGACCAGCCTGGCCAACATAGTGAAACCCCGTCTCTACTAAAAACACAAAAAATTAGCTGGGCGTGGTGGTGGGTGCCTGTAATCCCAGCTACTTGGGAGGCTGAGGTGGGAGAATCACTTGAACCCAGGAGGCGGAAGTTGCAATGAGCCAAGATCGTGCCATTGCACTCCAGCCTGGGAAACAAGAGTGAAACTCCGTCTAAAAAATAAAATAAAATAAAATAAAAAAAGTCCAAAAAAATTAGCCAGGTGTGGTGGCAGGCAGCAGTAATCCCAGCTACTAGGGAGGCTGAGGCAGGAGAATCACTTGAACCCGGGAGGTGGAGGTTGCAGTGAGCCGAGATCACACCACTGCACTGCGGCCTGGGCGACAGAGCAAAACTCCATAAGATCTAATTGCTAGAATCTCAGAATCAGGAAAAGCCACATCTAGAAGGCAGTTCAGAGAGGATACCTTCCGGGTTGGAGACAGACGTGAGGGAGAGCAAAAAGTAAAGAGCATCTGCACTGGGACTTTGAAGGTTGAATAGGAGCTCGCCAGGCTGCCAAGGGAGCAGGACATCTCAAGCAGAATTTACTCTTGGGGACTCTGCCAAAGTTCCTAAAGCAGGAGCTGTGATTAGCAAATCAGCTATGTTGTGAAGGATGATCCTTTAAGATTTTTACATCTGAAGAAGATACGTGACAACTTTTAGCTGGCAGTGGAGGGAGGTCTACCCTCCCTGCGAACTGTAAGACTTGAAAAGGCACACCCCATGGTGTGATCCAAGAACTTCGCCTTCCCCTGCAACTGTGCTTGACGGCACTGGTGACACACCATGCTCCCTTACACCAGAGGAACAAATGTTCGGGGACAGCAAAATAATTGCAACTGTCATCTCTAGGAATCTAGGGAGTGAGTGTGCTCCCTGACACTCCCTGACTGCAAATACTAAGAACTTTATTCTTTTTTTTTTTTTAGGCGAATTCTGGATCTATCACCCAGGCCAGAGTGCAGTGGCATGATCTTGGCTCACTGCAACCTCTGCCTCCCAGGCTGAAGCCATCCTCCTACCTCAGCCTCCAGAGTAGCTGGGACTACAGGCGTGTGCCACCATGCCCAGCTAATTTTTGGTTTTTTGGGTTTTTTTTTTTTCTGTAGAGACAGGATCTCACTTTGTTGCCCAGGCTGATCTTGAACTCCTGAGTAAGAGCTTTGTCCTAATAATTAATAATACCAATAATGCCTTCCACTATAAGCATCTTGTTTACAAGTATCCCATTTCACACATGAGAATCCAATGTCCAGAGAGGTGGAGTGACTTGTTTGAAGTCACACAGCTTGGAGGTATACATGGCATTCGACCCTGGGCTACCTGACTCTAAAGCTAGATTTGTCATAGGCGGAGGTGACCAGGTCGTTGATTCAATTGTTTAATGGGCTACCCTATTGGATTGGTGGAATCAGAGCCTGAAAAAGACACCCAAAAGAGGGTCAGCAGTTTTCAAACTTACAACATGTCAGAGCATCTGGGTCTTCAGGGAATCCCAGCCAGTACTGCTAGAGTAAGCAAAAGATTACTACATCTCTGGTTTTGTGCCAAATCCCAAACCATTCCATCCTAGAGTACGGGTGTACAGCATTCAAGGCCTCTGATTTTGGAACAACTTCAGGGAGCAAAACATATTTAAGAGAAGCCTGTACATTTCAGCTTCTCCCTCAGCCAGGAAATTACTCAAATGATTGAGTCTCCCAGGGCCCTCTGAGAGTATAGACCCAGAA